>NC_000006.12:48241818-48544848 GCF_000001405.40 Homo sapiens
AATTTCTTGGTATAGTGCCAATATAGCATTCTATAAAATGCACATTGACTTATGTTTGTTTTGATTAATGCATAGGATTTTAAGTCACGATCTCCTTGGTAGACATTAGCTTTTGTGAACTCAAATCCCTCATACTTTCTTTATGATGGAAGAATATATTCATAAAGTTCATATTTCTCTTTCTTTAGGGCAGTCCAGCATCTGAACCCTGATAGGTCTTGGTGAGAGTCAGAGATGCCTTCTAGTATAAAAGCTAAATATGCCTGATGTTTGCTTTCCTGGCTTTCTTTACAGCCATGCTATTGATCTGCAAATCAGATGCACCTACTAGGCTTGGCTCATCAGTACATTCTCAATGAGATAGAATAAGGAAAGAAAATTCTGGCAGAGAGTAAAATTGAGTTATGAAGACAGTGGGAAGCAACAATGCTTGCAACAGCATCCTGTGCCCCATGCTAGTGTAGTCATTCCTCTCAGTGGGGGGACTTACCTACCATGTTCTCTACTTGGGCAATGATATGGTTTGGCTGTGTCCCCAGCCAAATCTCATTTTGAATTGTAGTTCCTATTATCCCCACATGTCACAGGGAGGGACCCAGTGGGAGGTAATTTAATCATAGGGGTAGTTACCCTCATGCTGCTCTCGTGATAGTGAGTGAGTTCTCATGAGATCTGATGGCCTTATAAGGGGCTTTTCCCCTTTTTGCTTGGCACTTCTCCCTGCTGCTGCCATGTGAAGAAGGACATGTTTGCTTCCTCTTCTGTCATGATTGTAAGTTTTCTGAAGCTTCCCCAGCCATGCTGAACTGTGAGTCAATTAAACCTCTTTCCTCTACAAATTACTCAGCCTCCAGTATGTGTTTATTAATAGCATGAGAATGGACTAATTCATGCAAGTTTTGAACCTTGTTTTTGTTTGAATAGCACCAGATATGGGCCACCATTCTACGTAATTTTGGGAATTACCTAATATTTTTTAAACATGTTGTTTTTCCTTGCTTGAAGCTAAGAACCCGGGCTGATACTGTGGGCTTAGTCTTACTAATGGGAAAGAATTAAATGTTAGTGGTATAAAGGAGTTGTAACTTTTCTATGCCCCAGAGAGAGTTAATTGATGGGGAAAAAATAGGGAATTCTACAGAAAAGAAAAATAATTTTCAGAAGCATGAAGAAGGCAAATTAGAGGCAGGATCACCATGAGTGGTAGTGTGTTAAAATTTAGTAGTGAGGGAGGGTATTTCTTTCAGAGGAGTGAAACAATAGACCTCTCTGTTTATAATTTATGGCATAATTTAATCTAGCCCTTTCTTCCTTTGGTAACTGTCATTTCTTCCTTTTGATTTCCTTGAACTTAATTGCTTCATAAAAGATTTGTCATTGTACCAGATTGTTCTGAGGTTAATAGTTTAAGAGCTATCATCAGTGTACCACCAAAGATAACCTAGTGCAGAAAGGATGTGACAGATAATATTACAATGTGTGAAAACAAAGCAAAATGATCTCTGACAGGATTGTATTGAATCTTTCAGAGATCATAATAAGATATGATATTTGAACTGCTCTAGTTTTCAAAGCTCTGTCAATATATTATATCTGAGGGCTATTCCATAAAATACAGCTCTCCTAATTTTATTATAATCATTTAATGGAAATCTATTTCAAATTAAATAAGCATTTCTTAAACAGGAAAATATTGGACATAATTTAAACTTTTAAATGTAACTTTACACTATTATAGTGAAAGTAGCAGAAATAGTTTCAGGAAAATTCATTTCTTTCTTTTCTTTCTTTCTTTCTTTCTTTCTTTTTTTTTTTTTTGAGACAGTTTTGCTCTTGTTGCCCAGGATGGACTGCAATGGCGCTATCTCAGCTCACTGCAACCTCCGCCTCCCAGGTTCAAGCGATTCTCCTGCCTCAGCCTCCCAAGTAGCTGGGATTACAGGTATGTGCCACCATGCCCAGCTAATTTTTTTAATTTTTATTAGAGACAGGGTTTTCTCCATGTTGGTCAGGCTGGCTCAAACTCCCGACCTCAGGTGATTCACCTGCCTCGGGTTCCCAAAGTGTTGGGATTACAGGCATAAGCCACCGTGCCTGGCCTAGGAATATTCATTTCAGTTCAATTTACAATACACTTGTTGTTTGGCCAGCATTATTCTAGGAATAGTGATGCAAAAATAAGCAAGACATGGTCACTGGTTTTAAGGAGCAATAGGCTGGCAGGCAGTACAAGAAATTGTTAAAATTCAAATTCAACAAGTAAGTATGATAAAGAGCTTTAATATCAAGTGTAGTAATTATACTCTCTCAACTTTCTCAGGGTAATTTTGAAGATCAACTTTGAAACCCAACGTTCAGTGTAGAGGGTAGTTAGGATTATAATTGCAAAGCTGCTGCTAGGATGCAGAAAATAGAGAGACGAAAACACATGGGACTGTGTGGTAAAGTAAAAAGGCAGGAGTCTTGAAAGAGAAAAACAGGTTCAAACAAATCCAATAAAACTCTTTATGTTTATCAGATGTACAAAATGTGGGTAACCATCCTAACTTTTGAGTTTCTATTTCAAAGTTGGAAAAACTGCAATAATGCCTACACGGAAAGGAGGCATTGAGAGTTAGATAGAATATCAACTAATCAACTAGTGTTGAGTCTTAATTATTTTATAAGGCAATCACTCAAATTTGTAGTCTTAGAGATAACTAGATTGTCACAGTGCCTGGCACATGATCAGCATGCAATCCATTTTTGTTAAATGACAAACAGATTAGTATATTTGAGTGTTGGTGGTTGGTAGGGCAGGTATTGTTATCTCAGTTAATATTATTGTTCATGCTAGAGTCAAATTTACTTTACATAACAGAAAATGCACTTACATGTCAAATTTAAAGCTGAGAGAACTAATTATATTCTGAACATAAAAAGAGCTTAATATCTGAATAATTCACTTAACGTAAATGCTCTGGGTATTTTTCATTTTTTACAAAAATAATAATCTTAAAAATGAAATTTTTAAATGGAAAAAATAACAACTCTTGGCCTGTGGGCTCTACCATTATTGTTGATGAGAAAAAAAATCTAAATTGAATTAGTAAACATCTTCTATGGAAAAAAATTTACTTAATTACATAGATTCTGTCTCTGGATGTTAATGTATGAATTTGAAATATATGGATAGTTCCTTTGATAAAGTAGACATCTGCTTTTCATCTATCATTTTATTACAAATCCACAAATTTTAAACAAACTGTAGAAACATAATCAAATGGAAAGTTCAGATATAAGTCCTTTTCACTTTCTGCTCATCATGCTGAAGGGAGTAAGAAAATACAGGAAGACTTAACATTATAAACACCTATTTAAGAACTATGTCAATTCCCGTGTAGCCCATCTCCAATTTACCATTGTATCCCCAGTTTTGTCACAACATGAGCAACTTTTAATGGTCAATGTAGAGACATGGGTGTGAATGGCAATGGCACAGGCAGGAAATGTAATGCTCAGATACCTAAAGTGCTTAGGTACATAAAGTAAACTGAATTACTAAGATCAAGTACAAAGCCACCTGCCTAAAATATCAAGATCGATTAGGAGTCAGAGTGTCAGCAGATTTCTGAAGGAAATCTGATAGGAAACTTAAAATGGACTTCCAAGAAGCAAGGCAATAGGCACATTTATGCTATAACTGAGCATGTTTGCATAGATTGCATGTTTTACCGATCATAAATTCCTGAAGACTCAAGGACATGCCTTCATGCTTGTGATTCTTCTCACCTGCCATGATGTATACACATTATTTGGACATTTACCAACATGGCAGGTTCTAATTGTTTTAATCCCGGCCCCATTATTTTAGTAAATGGTATTTTTATACATAGAAGATAGGTTCCTATATTAGGCATATGTAAGTGACTGGTACAACACCAGAAACACAGTAGAATATCCACCAAATGGTAATTGCTCTTCCTTTCAGAGCCTTTGACCATGACTTCCCAATGCCTAGAATGCTTCTATCCTTGTCTTGCCTGTGGAAATGCTGTTCATTCATGTGGCCCCAAGGACAATGTCCTGTCTTCACAATCCTGGTTTGATTTCCAAGGTAACTCTGGTATAAACCTTATTATTTATGTTTCCATAGAATTTTGTATTTTTCTTATCAAATAAAGCCAATCATATTGTTTATAAATATAGTCAGACATTAGGGAAAGAAAAGAACTATGTAACTATTTTTTTAGATCATGTTTCAGAGCATGTTGCTATGACTCCATTTACTTGATGATTGGCATGGAGCAAATGGCTATGAAAAAGTTTACTTGTTCAGGAGACTAGGATTAAGATTCCTTAACAATAGGGGATAAATAAAAATATTCCCCCAGGCCAAGCAACTCCTGGTTTGAAAGTGAGGTATTCTGTACTGGAGGCAGAGGACATGCAGGTGTCCTCTGATGTAACTTCCCTCTCAGCCACTGTCATTTAGCCTTTAGTTACTTATTCAAAGTATTCGCCACTCTTAAATACTTTCTTGTTTATTTCTTTATTCATTCACTACACACTCTTTCTCATCCTCAGTGTTACATAAGCTCCATATAGTCAGTCTTGTATCATTCACCATTGTGTCTCCAGGACCCTGAATTGCATCTGACGTGTAGTAAAGATTGGATGAACAAGTGAGTAAATAAATGAATGAATGAACAACACTATAGTTTTGCAAGAAAAATGAAAAAAACACACTGGGGGGTCTAGGGTTGTCAGAATTTTTCTTATTAGGATGGACAGTGAAATATTTTCATTAGAATGATAATTATTACCAACATTTCTTGATTTTCTTTCCCTTGGCTATCCCTCCATTGGGAGGAGGGAGTGGTATTGTTCCTGAGATCAGCAACTCAATCCTTATTGTTCCACAAATGATATGGATGAAGTATCTTACTCACTAGATTACTGTAAGAAGATTTTGGTATCTTAATGCTCACTATCTCTATAATGCTGTGCATAATAGAATCACATTCTAGCAGGTGAAACAAGCAAATGTCATAACCATGAAACTGGGTCTTATTTATCTTTATTTTTATGCCTTACATATAGATAGTACTCAGCAAATGTTGAAAGAATAAATAAAAAAAATCAATTATTCAATTATACCTTACTACCATTTATAATACAGGTTCCCAAGAAAATGCATTAAAAGTGATTGTGAACTACAGATGGAAACACACCTCTTTGACCTTTGACATGTATCTGTGCCTTGCCAGCTACAGTACTGGGAACTTTCAGGTTAGTGGGAGGTGGGGGGAGAAGGTGCTTCATTTCAGTGGGAGAAAGGGGTTTAGGGGCCTTTTGTTGTTCACAGTGTAGTCTGCATCGCTATGTAGCTTATTGGAAATGCAGAATTTAGGTCCTATTCAGGAATTTGCAATTGGAATCTATGTTTTTATCAAGATCCTTAGGTGATGTGTGTGCACATGAAAATTTGAAAAGCAAAGTTTCTAAGAGGTAATATATTATATTTAAGACATCAAAAATGTCTTAAATATCTAAGCAAAGATATTCTACATAGCTTTGTATTGGCAGACAAAAAAATTGCTCTTTAAGTCAATTTCTGTAAGGCTAAGGGGTGTAACCCCCTTCAAAATCCTATTTGTATATATATCAGTTTCCAGAAAACATAGTCGATGCAGGTTCTTAATAAATCAATTCAGTGTTTAAATGAGTACATTTGCTGTCTCAATAAAGCATAATAAACAGTTGCTACCTTTCATTTCTGCTTCCATCAAGGAGGAGTTAAAGATATTAAATGGAAACTTGTCATTTTTGTTTCTTGGCAGGAAATTATTCTCTCTTATACAGAAGTTGGCACAACTTCCAAGTTCAAAGAAACACAGGATTTTACATTCAGGAACATCTGCTTTAATTTGTGCTTGAAATAAAGTGTGAATGTAAACATCTTTCAATGATCTTTCTCTTCTAGGCATTTCTACAGCACTTAGTGTGGGTCACAAAATTAACATAACATTATAGAATGTTTTGCACTAAAGGATGTTGTCTCACAATTAAATTTTAATGATGTCTGAAGAGCACCATAAACAATACGTGCTATAGAAATTCAAAGAAGAAATTTGGATTACTTGGGTAACCTATAAATAAGCTACATGGAGAAAGGTAGATATGAAACCTGCTATTGAGAGATGAGGATGGATTGGATAGTGGCAAGAAATTTCAGTAAAGGCAATGACAATAGCAAAGGTGTAAACAGAGAAAGAGCAAAGCAAGTTCAGAAATTCACAAGGAAATATGTTAATGAAGTGTGGTGATGGGACTCATAAAGAGAAACATTGACCAAGGCAGGTTCAGATTAGTGTTGAATTCCAAGTTGAATTACAAAATTTCCTGTAGTAAATAAACATGTTTTGAGTAAGTAACAAAATGAAAAAAATGTGTATTAGAAAGAAAGTTTAATCAAGCAAAGGTATGAAGCATGCAGGTCTAGTTACTAATGTCAATATTATAATGCTGGATCTTAATAAATGATTGCTGAATTTCAAGTAAATGAATATACAGTGATTCGTATAATTTGCAGGAAAAGAAATTAGTTTCTGAAGTCAATTAACTCTTCTTCAATTTGTTTACATGTTTCACAATTTTCCAAAAGGTGGTAGCAATTGACAGAAAGTCATCAACAGACAGAGGAAATGAATGTAGATGTAGGATAGATGCACTTGTCTGAACATGGCTCTAGGTGGGACTCTGCAGCATTTTTCTTTCTAGATACGTCTCTGGATTCCTGTCACTTTCAAACGTATCTCTGTCTTTCTAGTGTGAGAATATCTAATTACCAGTGGAGGTAAGTGGAGAAACTCCTTTTGTCATTCTGTGTTCTGGTGGCTCCTCCTGACTGTTATAGCCAGACACCTACCCATAAGGTTTCAAGTATTTGTTTATAACCTAACACATTCTTTATTCATTTTTTAAAAATTGACAAATAAAATTTTGTATATGTTTATTGTGTAAGCATATTGTTTTGAAATATGTACACATTGTGAAATGGCTAAATGGAGCTAATTAACATATGTGTTATCTTCCACACTTATTTTTGTGCTGAGAACACTCGCATGATCTTACTTACGTGCAGAGTGTTAAAAAGTTGAACTCCTAGAAATATGGAGTAAAAAGGTGGTTGCCAGAGACTGGGAGAAGGGAAGAATGATTGAGGAGATGTTTGTCAAAAGATAAAATATTTGAGTTAGATAGGGGGAGTAATTCAACGGATCTATTGTACAAAATGGTGACTATACCTAATAAGTAATTATATTCTTGAAAATTGCTAAGAGAATAGATTTTAAGTGTTCTCACTGCAACCTAATAAATCCTGGAGTGGCAACTACAAGGGTGAATTACAGGCCAGTTTCCCAAGCTCAGTTTCTCAGAGTATCTTCCTCTTGCCTTTCCTTATCCCAGCAAGCCCAGGCTTGAAGACTGTGGTATTTTCTAACAGTTACTATGATCATTTCTCTGCAGATGTTGGCCGAACTGTTACAGAATTGTCATGTCAAAACTTCCATCCAAAACATTCATTTGTAGAATGGTTATGGTGACACAGGCACCTCTTGGAACAGCACAGTGTTCTTAGGGGGTCCCTACTTGATAGACGTTAGGAAGATGACTAGTGGGCTACTAGCCATGAAATGATACTAAGTCCCTTTGATAAAACTCTGAAGTATTGAATCAGGAGGCTGTTCTCCTGTGAGGAATCTGTTATCCTTGTCAGAGGAAAAAGCAGGCTCAATCGATGTTATCCGAGTTTTTCTTCCTTTCTACAACTTGAAATTATGATAAATTAACAGGACAAGAGATGATGGAGGAGAGTACAGGAGATGGCTGTGATATTCCATTCCATTATGTCCAGACAGAACCATCCGAAAAGCAGGCTAGCAATCAAGAGGGGCTAGAAACTGAAATTTTGGATAGGGGAGTAAAATGTCTAATGTCAGGACCCAATTTACAGATCTTAAAATATCTGAATCATTAAATATTGGACTATTGGAAAAGCAACAGTTTTAATCAATCAACAATTCAATCACTGTAAATTATTTTGAGCACCTGTGGTAAGTTCAAAACAGTTCAGTTAGCTTTCATTTGTTTTATATGTGGAGTGATATTACATGCTGCTTCAGTGTAGGAATTATGTTCAACAATGGCATGCTTTGACCACTAGAAGCACACAAAACATACATGTTAATTTATAAAGGTGAACAAGAGCTGAAACTATTAGTCCAATAGTGATAGGGAGACTTGGGTTTTTCTTACTGCTGAATTGTGTTCTCCATCACCCTACTCCAAAATGGCCTTAATCTTAAAGTGAAAATTAAAACAAAGGCTATTAGTGTGGAAAGGATCGTATAGGCTTCCTAGAATACCCTTCTATTTAATGTATGGGTCTCCTAATAATCTAAATTTATGTATGCTCATTTGTGATGTGATTCTCACAAGCCTGATCTTATGTTCAGTTGAAACATGAAGTGATCTATCTGTGGGATCTGAGAGGCTCCTAGAAGTTGCCACTTCAGGATACAAAAGTGTTGAAGCTATGAGTTTCTAATTTCTGGAGGCAGAGCCATTATCTAAATGACATGAGAGAGAAGAGAATGAACCTGTTTCCACTCACTGATCTCTAGAATTACTAGATCTCCTCTGTACATTGAAGAACTTAGCAAAAAGGCAATTGGATTTAAACCTGACTACACATTAGAATCACCTGGGAGACTTGAACTATATACAAATGCCTGGTCTCCACTCCCAGGTATTTTAATTTAATTGGTCTGGGATGGCTCCTGGGCATTTGCAAATTTTAAAGCTTTTTGCTTGGTTTAAATATGCCATCAGAGTTGAGAACCATTGCAGGAGAGATCATCAAGTTGATCTGGTCTCCTGCTCTGACATTCTGAGACTCTGGAAAGACAACAGACCTAGTAAGTTTCCAATGATGGATCAGGGGAGATCTGAAGTTCAGATCACTGTAGCTTTAATCATCTACTGTTACTCTAATAGAGTAACACATGTCACTAATCCAAGAATTCACTCTCTGGAGCTCTTGCTATGAAATTTATGACATTTCTAATGAGCTCAAAGAGCCCCCAATAGAGAAAAAATCATGCCCTTTGTTTATTCAAAATTTTTACCATAAATGGAGACTCCAGAATATTTTTTTCCAATTTTAGCCAATATTATACTAATTATAAAGATTATACACATCAGAATTGATTATTTCTCACAAGTTGGATGAAATTATCTTCTACCTATAACATTCCTTCTGTAAGGAGATAGTGAAATATTTGTTAGTGGAAAATTCTATATAGACAACTCTTAAATAGCATCTATAAATCTTTGAGAAAACACATGTAATAACGTAATTCTAGTGGGTTATTTTCACATGAAGATATAAGCCTGAACTTATAAAATCATTCTTGGCTATGAGAGATAGTTACAAATGTCTTTTGCTGGAAATTGCTGAGGAAATATAAACATGTATTATTATTTTGGATTCTGTTTATTGAAAACATTTTTGGAACTGGAAAATTAATTAGCTGGCTGATTGAATTAAAGGCGACTGGTGAGAACCATCCTTCACAAACTGCAATTTCAAAAAGCTCCACTTTAACCTGAGGGCTGCGGATTTGTTCCTTATTTAATTTGGAGGACCAAGGCTCACATATTCATTCCACTGCTGCTCCCTGTATTTACTGTAGTTAATTGTTACTGGAAGTCTAGAGCTAAATCGAGAATGTATGTTCTTCTAGTGTTTTGAAGAGCTGCGGGACACTGCCACAAGAGTCTTAGCATAGAGCAGCTTCAGGTTGGAGTAGGATATATATTCCTCATGGGTGAATATTTTCTTCAGTTTTGTTGCCATTTTGTCCTGTGAATGATTGTATTCTTAGCAGAGGCTGAAACAGTTCACTTCTAGCTTGAACAATAGGAGTAAAAAAAAGAAAAAAAAACGACAGGAGGAAAGCTAGAGCAAGAAGTACTGGAAGAGGTAACCAAAGGACTTAGGTTATAGGAATGATGTTCACAGCCTGAGTTCAGTCTTGGCACAGGCAAGCACTCCACTCTTTGTGGTACAAATTTACTGTATTATCCCATTCCCACACTGCTATAAAGAACTGCCCAAGACTGGGTAGTTTACAAAGGAAAGAGGTTTAATTGACTCACAGTTCAGCATGGCTGGGGAGGCCTCAGGAAACTTACAATCATGGCAGAAGGGGAATCAAAGATATCCTTCTTCATATGGTGGCTGGAAGGAGAAGTGCCAAGCAGAAAGAGGAAAAGCCCCATATGAAACCATCAGATTTTATGAGAACTCATTATTATGAGAACAGCATGGAGGTAATCACCCTCATGATTCAATTACCTCTCACCAGATCCCTCCCATGACACCTGGGGATAATAGGAACTATAATTCAAGGTAAAATTTGGGTGAGGACACAGACAAACCATATCGCAGGTCAATTTTGGTTAATGAACAGTTGTTTAAGAGCAGCTCAAGCCACAGCTCATATCTGACCAAGACGGCAAACGCCAGAAAGCCAGTGGGGGAAAAACAGTTCTATAAAAACCTCCATGACTAGAGGAAAAATGTATAAAGGAAGATGGAAATGCAATAGACAGATTTCTCAGCAGGCAGGGAAGAGTAACAGCTGGACTAAAGTTTATATAAATGTAAATCTTTAAATAAAATTTACCAGAAGTTTGGTGGGCTAAATAATTGCCCAACAAATATGTCCATGTTCTAATCCTCAGCACTAGTGAATATATTGCCTTAAATGGCAAAAGGAACTTTGTAAATGTAATTAAATTAGTGATCTTGAGATGGGGAGATTATTCTGAATCATCTTGGTGGCTCTAATGTATTCACAGGTGTCCTTATAAGAGGAAGGAGGTAGAATTAGATTCACCAAACATATATGATGGCAGAACAGAGGTTGGACTAAAGCACTTTGAAGATGGACTAAATGGCCACTAGATGAGGAAGGCCAGCAGCCTCTAGAAGCTGTAAAAGGCAAGAAAATGAATTTTCTCCTAAAGCCAACCCCTAGTACCCAATTTTACCAGCATTGAGTGTTTACTCTGTATTGGGTATTGAGCTATGTACTTTTCCTATGTTATCTCATTTATCCCTCATTACAATTATATGAAGGCTTTCAGCATTCCCTTAAGCCCAAGCACCATGGTTTTTGATCTGGGACTTATTTCTCTAGAGGCTCTGCTGTGGATCTTCTCTAGCAATGTCTTTCCTCTTGTCAAGGGGACGTGTCCATCTGGATCTCTACCAATTTCTAGGCCATGTTCTGTGTCCTTGTATAAGAACTATGGTATTCCCTTTTCAAATGGCCTCCAGCA
The DNA here is from genome assembly GCF_000001405.40 of Homo sapiens. Classification (NCBI taxonomy): domain Eukaryota; kingdom Metazoa; phylum Chordata; class Mammalia; order Primates; family Hominidae; genus Homo; species Homo sapiens. Next base: position 48,253,213 of record NC_000006.12, read on the forward strand.
ACTTCCCAGTAGAACACAAGCTCTATTCCCAAAGGCACATCACAACTTCTAAAAATAAAATCCAAAGGGAGGCAGCCCAGGGTTGGCATGGGACCCCACCCCCGGTAAGAAAACCAGATGTTTCCTGTTTTGTTGCTCTGTCATCCTCAACATATGGCTTCCACCTCATAGCACAAGGACCACTTAAGCTCCAGCCATCTTATTCTTCCTTCAGTCAGAAAGAAGGAAAAAGGCAGGAGAAGGCACATCATTTCCCTTTTATTTCACTTACTGGAAGTAGAACATGAAGCTCCTTATAGGGAGAGGGGCGGGAGATCCTGCTAAAGGCACAGGTGTTTTGTACTGTCAGGCTGGCATATTCATTGCAATTACTAATATAATTTAGTTCTGACATTTTCATTTTGTACTGTTCTATTTGTTTTGTTTTACTCTTCTCTCCTCAGTGTGTGTGTATGTGTTTGTGCATGTGTGTGTATTTCCGTTACCTGTCTTTTAAAATATTGCTTGAGTTTATTATTACATATTTCTTTCTACTTTATTTGAAGGTTTCTATTCTTTTAGTAGTTACTATCAATATTCCAGTGAATATTTATAAAATCAACCTCTTTGCAGATGACTAGAGTAAAATAAAGATCTAGGATGCCTTTAACTCTATTCACTTTTGTCTTTGAGGCTGGAAAAAACAGAAATGGACAAGTGGAAAACTAGAGCTAGAAGCTCTGAAAGCAGGCTTAAGCAATGGGAATGACATTCAGGAGCCTGGGTCCTTGGGACTTTGCATGCAATTGTTATCTGTTATTTTAACAGCATTGTTACAAGCTCAAACTAATTATTACTATTGTTTTATATCATTAATTTGTTTTTAGATGTATATGATTATTTTCTTTGCTCACCAGTCTCACTTCCATTTCAGATATTCTTTCTGGCATCTTTTTTTTTTTTTCTCCTTTTGGGTCATTTAGAATTTCTGTTAATGAGAGTACGTTTTTGGTTATCTGAAGATGTTTTACTTGCTTTTTTTCTTTAAAATGGTTTTCCTGAGCAATCAATATAATTGAACAGCTATTTTCTCTCTGGATGCTAAAGATGTATTTTACTCTCTGCTTGCTATGATCTAAATATTACTTCTATGTAGTTTTTTTGTTTTTGTTTTTGTTTTTCAGATGGAATCTAGCACTGTCACTTGGGCTGGAGTGCAGTGGTGTGATCTTGGCTCACTGCAACATCCACCTCCTAGGTTCAAGTAATTCTCCTGCCTCAGCCTCCTGAGTAGCTGGGATTACAGGCACCTGCCATCATGCCCGGCTAATTTTTTGTATTTTTAGTAGAGATGGGGTTTCATTATGTTGGCCAGGCTGATCTCGAACTCCTGACCTTGTGATCCACCGGCCTCAGCCACCCAAAGTGCTGGGATTACATGTGTGAGCCACTACGCTCAGCCTTTTCTATCATTTTTTTCCTGGTATCTATTTAAAATATATTTTGAAACTTCTTGCCCTATTCATAATGTCTCTTACATTTTCACTTTTTTATTACTTTGTGCTACAATATTTTGTGATTTCTTCTGATCCCTCTTCTATTCACCAATTATCTTTGGCTTTCTCAAACCTCCACTTAACAACTAAGTTGCTAATTTTAACTACATTATTTTTTTTTCTACAACTTTTCTGTATTCCTTTGTTAAATATACCTAGTTGATTCTGGTAGCCTTTTAACTCTGATCTTACACTTTTAATTCCATTTTATTTTCTGAAACTTAATAAGCATATCCCTTTAGCATTCTTTAAAATATTCTTAATATATGAGTTTTTGTAATTCTGTTATTGTTGTTTGTTGTTTCTGTTGGTTCTCACTCATGGATGCTTGTTCTCTCATATGTGTGGCATAATTTTTTATTGAGAATTCATACTTGTTTACATTGTATGTTGAGTATATATAGTCCAGGGAAAATTTTGGATTGCTTCTTCCAGGTACCTAAGTAAAAAAATAGATCTAGGTCCAATACACATTGCAATTCTTGACTCACATATTTTGAACTGAATGATAGAGTAGATTCAGACCACAAAATATGTTAAGACCAGACTTTGACCCCATAGTCTCAATGAAGGTTTTGTTTACATAAAGACTCCACTTAGCACTAAAGCCAAATTATACATTATACTTTACTTATTTTACGATTTGCCTTTACGGAGCGTCTTTTTCTGTTTTTGCTAAAAGAGCATGTGATTTGTTCAGATGTTTGCTTTTGAAGCTCTAGAAAATGTGGAATCTACCTGTACCCTCAGATTAACTCTCATTTTTAACACTAGCTTAAATTCATAATCCTTGCTCCCTGACTGCATCTGATCTGAGCTAATTTCTACTATTTTATGCAAGCTCATCCAGCTACTTAAGACTGTTTTAAATTATTTTATCAATGTTTATTAGATATTACACAGCAGGAGAATTTTGCAATTTCCAGTTCATCATAATGTTGGAAACACAAGGCTCATATTAATCCTTCAGAAAATCGTTCTATTCTCAGGAGGATTATGTTTTTTAAAAGGAATAAAAATATTATCACTAGGTTCAGATAAAATTCTATGTTTTTTGGATGCTTACATTATATAAGAGAGTGGGGGCAAAAATTTTAGGTATGATTAGGTGGTATCAGACAATATGATGTAAAAAAAAATTATCTGAAGCCAGGTTACCTGGGTTTGAATCCTTGTTCGTTCACTTAGTAACTGTGTGATTACCGGGGAATTGGTTAATATTTCCGGGCCCCAGTTTTATTCTCTTTAAAAAGAGGTATAATATTAATAACTACCTCATATGTTTATCTGAGGAATGAATCTATTGATACATGTAAAATGCTTACAGAAATGTTTGGCATACGACAAGACTAAAAAATCTAGTTATTATGATCATAAATGTTTGGTGATATGAAGTAGTGTAGTGCAAATTAATCACAAGATAAACAGGATTTTTAAAAAAGTAGATGATAGGCAGCAGCATTTAAAATTGGGATTTGTATATTTCATCCTTTATTTAAAAGAAGCTGAGTTGCAAAGCTTACAACAAGTGAATGAAAGACACATTTAAATATTTTTGTAGGACTTAAGTTAAAGTGTTCATTTGACATATGTCTCTGAGTAAGCATATGAGAAATTGGCCTTTCAAAATGACACACACTTATACATTTTAGTTAATGACTTTCAAAACATATGAGTTTAATTTTTAATAGTGTTTCTTTATGTTAGGTTTATTTAGCATTCAAAAGTGATTTTTGATCACCATTTTGGAAACAAAGTTTCTAAGAAATGAGTGCTGTTACTAGGATTTATTTTCTTTCTATATTTATTCATCTCCTGTTTAACTTTTTAAGATTTTACATGCAAATAAAGATCTTGCCAATGTCTTGGAAATAGGTATTTTCAACTATAAACATGTTATGAAAACTATAATATTTTTCTCCAGCCTGCGAAGAGAACTGGCCTGAAAAAATATAAATCCATGTAAAAATATGCACCAAGGGTTTGTTGTGGGAGAATTTAAATTCCTTTCTCTTCTTCTCTGAAGAAATATGTAATGCAGCACTTTTTCTTCATTGCAGCTTCAGGGAATTCATGCCTAAAACTATAGAAGAGGTGATTGGGGCAGGAACTTTGTTTAATGTTATGATTCTTTGGAAATAAAATAATCCTTCCCCCAATCTGGGATACGATAATTTACTTTTTGATACACCTATTCTTCAAGACTGAGATTTTGTTTTAGGCATATATGAATTTTGAATGCCTCATATTGGAGACAGTTACAATAAAGGTAAAATTGAGAGTTGGGAACCCAAAATCGAAGTAAATAAAATAAAAAATTAGGAGCACAAGCTTTCTCAGTGTGAACTTTTGAGGTGAAAATAAATCGCAAGAAAATAAAGCTTGGCTTTATAATTCCAAATTAGCATTTGTAGCCAATAGGTACTGAGAGGCTGTTGATATCAGATAAAAATAAACTGTTCTATCTTCATGATATAGGCTGGACAGAAGTTTTTACTGTTGAAGCACAGGCTCTGCAATATTCGATCTCAGAGAAGAGTTTTGAGAAACATAGCTGTAGAAAATTCATTAGAAAAAAATCAAGTTGATCTAGTGTTTTATCTAGATAAGGACACTTATTACTCATGTTTCTGAGGTCACAATGGTAACCTTGAGGTGGTATCAAGAACTCAGAAAGTCATTGAATCAGCAATGAAGGAAAAGTTAACCCCTATATGTGCCTACTAACTGTAAAATACAAACAGATGTATAAACATCTCATTAAAACTACCTAAGATAGAACCTAAAATATGTCTATCAACCAAATAAGTTAATTGTATTTATTGGAAGTTAGTTGTATTTATTAGCACTAACATAGATTTGTGAGTTATGATAAATATTATCTTTATTTTTATATTTATGCCTGTGAATAACGTACTTTCTTAGATTTACCCAAAAACTTGGGCCACTTTTTTTTTTCCATGAAGTTTAAAATTCTTCAAACATTCATATTTTCAACAAGGTGGCTTTCTGGAATTAACCATTGCTTTTCAGTCAAGCACACTGTCCATGAATTTTACTTCATTAAAATGAGATTGTTGTTTGTGTCCCTACAACTTCAAGTTTCAAAACTGCCACAAAGTTTATATATCTGTCTTTATAAACAATATTTTGTGAAATAAAAAGATATAAACACACAGAGATACATTCAAGAGATTATTTTCATTTTAATTTGTATGAACTAGCCAAGATCTAGGAATCTTATTAAAACTCAGCAGGTTCTCCTAAAATGAAAATTGAATGAGATTAGCATTATTTCTTTGTGGTCAGCATCAGGTCCAATGTGAGGTATGCATTCATATAGCAGGTGCTTTAACTAATGAGTTATTTACTTAATGTAACGAGTTTCCTGTGCTAGGTTGACTAAGTGAGATAAATGCAGGAAATGTCTTTTTCTTTCTCCCTATATCACCATTTATCAAATAAGAAAGGTTCTTTCTTCCCTGTTCCTGTATTTCAAGCAGGAATCATAGATTTTTCCATCATTAAGTATTTTTAAACAATGCTATTTAAAATTATTTAAAAATACAATCCAAAGTAAATCAAATTTTATCTTTTCTTCAGTTTAATTTATCTTTTCTTCAGTTTAAAGTTTGTCTTCTCCACTGAAGCTCCCTGCCTGAACTGCATTGAGGAAGAAAATTCTCACCACCTAGAAAGCCCTTTTCTGAGAGTTTCTCCCTGAACACTTAGTGAAAGCTGTCTTTGTCTTTTGCTATGTATCAGCATAAGTATGTGCTGGACTACAATTCTCCAAAATGGTGTGGTTAGCATGTCTGGCATGGAGGGGCTTTAGGATGTGTGATTACCTAATACCATTCAGTTTCAGTTATTTTATCACAGGTAGAGTCCCTTTTAACATCTTTTTACATTTGTTAATGCAAAAATAATTATATGCTAACTAATATTCCAGATACTGTATCAAGACATGTTGAAGCTTATATAATTCAGACTTAAGTAGGACAAAGTAAATTATATTAATTGAATAATAATTTTGAAAGAAAGGAACGTGAAGAGTTAGGAGGGTAGGATGAATAAGATTCTGATGATTTTTATTTATTTGGAGGGGGATTTGGTTGTGTCATTCAGTGCCAGGTGGTGCCTTTTAATATTTTATTTTATTTTATTTTATTTTATTCATTTATTTTTGAGACAGAGTCTCACTCTATCTCCCAGGCTGTATGCAATGCCACAACCTCGGCTCACTGCAACCTCCGCCTCCTGGGTTCAAGCGATTCACCTGCCTCAGCCTCCTGAGTAGCTGGGATTACAGGCGTGCACCACCATGCCTGCCTAATTTTTGTATTTTCAGTAGAGATGGGGTTTCAACATGTTGGGCAGGCTGGTTTCAAACTCCTGGCCTCAAGTAATCCACCCACCTCAGCCTCCCAAAGTGCTGAGATTACCGGCACGAGTCATTGCGCCCCACCCATTTCTTTTTATTTTAAAACAATTACAAAAATACAGGAAAATAGGAAGTACAGTACCAAAATGTCATTTTCTGAAGCATTTGAAATTAAGGTAGTGCTCTGATGTCCCTCACCCCTACATACTTTAATATAAAATCTCCACAAACAAGAAATTACTACCATCGAATCTTCAGCCCCATTTAAGTTTTACTAATTTTCTTAGTTATATCCTTTATGGCAAAAGCATTTAGCACAAGATCATACAATGCATTTAGAGTTCTTTCATCTGAAAAAGTCCTTCAGTCTTCCTGTGCCTTTACTGATCTTGATACTTTTGAACATTACAAGCCAATAATTTTGTACACTGTCCCTCAATTTTGTTTGTCCAATGTTTCCTTGTTATTACATTGAAATGATATGTCTTTGGCAGGCCTATCACGGAAGTGAAGTATGTTCCCCTCCTTGATTCCTCTCAAGAGCACACATTTCAAATAGTCTCATTAGTGACAATGCTCACTTTAACCACTTCATTAAAGAGGTGTTTGCCATACTTCACCAGTGTAAAGTTACTCACTTCTCTTCTCCAGAATTTGATAGTTTATATACTCCATCATTTTTTTTCCAATAAAATAATTAGAACACAGAGAGGTTGAATTTTTTGCCAAATAGCATACAGGTAATTGCCAGAAAAGCCAGATGGAGAACCCTAGAGCGCCAGACTTAGGGTGTGTTTTTGCTTTCAGCATTTCACTAATCTTAATAATGTAAACCAGTGCACTTCTTGAAAAAAGGTTTTCAAAATAAATAGTAGCTATAATCTATTTTCTTTTGTCAATTTTCTATATTCCATCCCCAACACTAGAGGAAAATAAAATGACGAATCCCTACTATTTTTTCAGTTTCCTTACAGTATATCTCATCCTAAATTCTCAGGCCTAGGTGATTTCATGGAGTTCTCAAATATTGTTATTAAGAAACAGATCCAGGGCCAAAATCCTCAAAACTGATGAAACATGTCATGCCCTGAATTCTTGCCAAATTGTAAATGTTCTAATATTTTGTTCTATCATGTTCATGATTTCCTTTCATTTTTCTTCCTGCTTTGGGAAATCTTTGCCTGGAGCTTATATTCCACTGCTTCATAAGGTATTTTAAGTATTTTCTATTTTTCTTAGCATTATATAAATTTCTGGTCAATAAATTACTCATTACTCTCTGTGGAATGCTTTTTTTTCTCTCCTATTTGTTGTCTTTCCCCTAGCAAAGTAATTTTTTCTTATTGTTTCTAACTGACTTTGCAATGAGTCTTCCATTCTCCAAGATTCTTTCTATTCATGTGGTAAAAATAAGCTGGCAGAAATCAGGAATATAATAGGTTAAAGGATTACCTTTTTTGACTCCTGAAATCTCCTAACTTCATGGTTTTCCAGGAGAATTTAACATTAAGTCAATAGCATTCAATCAATGTTCATTGATTTTATACCAAGCAATTCCCTATATAAGAAGCATGTAAGTATACATATAATTCCAGATCCCTGCCCACCAAGAAAATACAGTCTAAAGGGAAGAAGACAGATAAGTAATGAGGATTTGCAATCTTTTACGATTAGGTCTATGAAGACAAAACTGCAATGTAATGAAAGGTAGAGCAGTGCTCTTCAAATCATTGTTTATGGGTATGAAAAGACCTTTCCTAGGAGGTAATGTGTGCTCTGAGTCCTAAAGTAAGAAATAATCATGAGAATGACAGGACTGTTACTCAGACAGAGAGAATGCAAGAATAGAAAAAAGAAAAGCAGCAAGGTCTATTTTGTAAAATTCAGAAGTTGTTCAGGAACTCAGAGACATGACTGATTAGGAAATATGCAGAACCAAGTGCAAAGCAAAAATGTGGGGTCTTTGTTAAAGTATTAAGACTTTTAAGACTGGACACATGCCTGTAATCCCAGCACTTTGGCAGAGGTGGGTGGATCGCTTGAGCACACGAGTCTGAGACCAGCCTGAGCAAATTGGTGAAACCCCATTTCCAAAAAAAAAAAAAAAAAAGTAGCCGGGGGTGATAGTGTTCACCTATGGTCCCAGCTACTTAGGAGGCTGAGATTGGTAAGATCGCCTGTCACTGGAGCCTGGGAGGTCGAGGCTGCCGTGAGCCAAGATCACTTCATTGCACTCCAGCTTGGGTGACAGTCTAAGACACTCTGTTAAAAAAAATAATAATGAGATCGTGACCATCCTGGCTAACACGGTGAAACCCCGTCTCTATTAAAAATACAAAAATTTAGCCGGGCTTGGTGGCAGGCGCCTGTAATCCCAGCTACCAGGGAGGCTGAGGCAGGAGAATGGCGTGAACCCAGGAGGCAGAGCTTGCAGTGAGCCGAGATGGCGCCACTGCACTCTAGCCTGGGCAACAGAGCAAGACTCCGTCTCAAAAATAAATAAATAAATAAATAAATAAATAAATAAATAAATAAATAATAATAATAATAATAATAATTTCAAGACAGTGACAGAAGTCTTAAATTAAATGGGAGGCCCTTGTGAGCATGAGCCCTGTGCAATACAGATCACATCCCACGAAGTCGGCCCTGCCCAATGTCCTGGAGTAGAAAGGATGAGTTGGAAGGGATGACTGTAGAAAACGCAGGGCAGTGTGGTGATTAATGACTTAAAGCAAAACCAGATCAAGATGAGCCTTGTAAAACAAGACAAAAAGTTTGGCATAACCAAGGCTATCTTGTTTGAGAGTATAAGGACATGTGTATCATTTTGTTTATGAAAGATATATGTTTATACTATCAATGACAAATTTTTTTCTTCATAGAAATAAAAGAATGATTTAGAAAGACAAAAAATTAGATAATAATAGTATATACGGCTGTGTGTATACACACACACACACACACACACACACACACATATATGTATATGTATATACAGCATGTTTCCTATACATAATGACGTAGACACTTCTTGAATTCCCCAAATATCTTTCCTATGGTTCTCACATCCTTGTCTTTCAAATCTAAGATTTACTAACAGAATAGTATACTTCCAATGGTTTATTAAACCAAAGGTTTTAAGGAGTGCACATACATTAACGAGTAATCTCATATCTATTACTTTCAAATTTCACTCAGTTTAGACTTAATCATACATCAAGGATATTGTAAGAATGCTGCACAGTTGTTTTCATAGAAGATTAAACTTGCCATAGCATCACAATCTACCTTTCCATTGTTCTGAATAAAGATATTTGTTAGTAACTGAACTTTTCTCATTATAATTTTCCATTTTTCATTGCTCTTTTAATATTAGGATGACATAAAAAGAAATCCTCAATTGTGGCAAAGTTTAACTTTCTACCAAGTAGTTTTGTCAAAAAAAAAAAAAAAGTAGTTAGGGTTATTGTTACTCACTGTTTTAGTCTGTTTTGGCTTCTATAATCAAAATACCATAAACTGGGTAGTTTATAAACAACAGAAATTTATTTCTTACAGTATGGAGTCTGGGAAGTCCAAGGGCAAGGTGCTGGCAGATTTGGTGTCTAGTGAGAGCCCGTTATTCTTATATGGCACCTTCTTGTTGAGTCCTCATGTGATGAAAAGGGTGAACAAGCTCTCTCAGGCCTCCTTTATTTTTTTATTTTTTTCTATTTGTAAACTATTTGGAGAGATTTATTCTGAGCCAAATATGAGTGACTATGGCCCATGACACAGCCCCAGGAGATCCTGAGAATATGTGCCCAAGGTAGTCAGACTACAGCTTGGTTTATACATTTTAGGGAGACATAAGACATCAATCAATACATGTAAAATGTTCAGTCTGGAAAGGAAGAACAGCTCAAAGTGGGTGGCGGGGGTCAGGGGGTGAGAAGAGGGGTTCCACGTTATAGGTAGATTCGAAGATTTTCTGATTGACAATTGGTTAAAAGAGTATCTAGAAGGGAGTGTCTGGGTTAAGATAAGTGGTTGTAGAGCCCAAGGTTCTTTTGCAGGTGAAGCCTCCAGCTAGCAGGCTTCAGAGAGAATAGACTGTCAATGTTTCTTGGCAGACCCAAAAAGTTGCCAGACTCTTAGTTAATTCTCTCCTGAATCAGGAAATAGATGTGAAAAGGGAAGAGGATTCTCTACAGAATGTAGATTTTCCCTACAAGTGACAGCTTTGCAAGGACATTCCAAAATATGTCAAAAATTATACTTTGGGCCTGCTATCTGTTATGTTGGTATTTTATCGCTACAAAAACTCTGCCTTCATGATCTAAGTACCTCCCAAAAGCCTCACCTCTTAATACCGTAAACTTGGGGCTTAGAATATCAACATATGAACTTGGGAGAACACAAACATTCAGACCATAACACCCACCATGACCCGCACTCTATTCCTATCACTAGTTCCTGCTCATTCAGCCTCACTCATGTCCAGGTCCTCCAACTGCCCCAGTGGTTCTCAACTAAATCAGTGTCTCTGGAGGGTTGATGCTCAGACATGGGTATGTTTCCAGTGCTTGAATTCACCTGCTTTTATCGTCAAATGCAGGAAGAAGACAAATAATAGCAATTCTAGTACTAGTAGCTGTACCCCATTTGTTTTGGGAAATTACCTTCTACACTATAAAAGGATCCCAAGTATTTTTATTGAGGACTTACTTTCTTCCCAGAACTTGTTCTTGGCTCTGGAGAAACAACAGTGAGGAAGGAAGGAAGGTTCCTGCCCTCTTTGAACTTAATTTCTGGTGGGAAAACAGACAATAAATACATGAATATAAGCATGCACTAATAGTCAGAAAGCATACACTAGAAAAAACAAACAACAAATAAGCGCAATAATTGTGATAAATGCTGAGGTTGGAAATACACCATTTTAAAATGTAATAAAGAAGCTAAGGCCTGAAAGCTGAGAAAGAGGCCAGCTGTACAAAGAAATAGCATGAGTTCTAGTTAGGAGAAATAAAGGACAAGCACAATACAATCACGAAATGGGAAAAAAATTGTTGTTCCAAGAAAAGAAAGAACACCAACGTGAAAGCACTACAATGAGAAAGGAGACTGGAATGAAAAGGCTATTTGCAGACAGGGGTCAAATCAGTTTATCTGTCTGAACTCCCCTCCCTGCTTGTGTTGTCATGTCTGCAAAAACCCTCACTATAATGTTGGCCTTTCTCATCAGCCTCCATTTCTGTTCATTTTCATCTGCTCAGCTTGACTCTCAGGGTCAGACCTTACTCAGACACCGAACCTTGACTACGTCCTTTTAAGAAGAATGCAAAGGAATAAGAATGATACAATGGACTTGGGGACTTGGAGGAAAGGGTGGCAGGGGCAATGAGGGATAAAAGACTACAAATTGGGTACAGTGCATCCTGCTTGGGTGGTGGTTGGACCAAAATCTCAGAAATCACCGCTAAACAACTTATCCGTGTAACAAAACACCACCTGTTCCCCAAAAAAGTATTGAAATAATAACTTTTAAAAAGTCTGATACTCTGGAACTTGATCTTGTCTTTGCTCCTGAGACTGTTTTTGTCAGGCATTCTTTATTTTTATTTTTTTAATTTTGCTTTAAGTTCTGGGATACATGTGCTGAATGTGCAGGTTTGTTACATAGGTATACATGTGCCATAGTGGTGGTTTGCTGCACCTATCAACTCGTCATCTAGATTTTAAGCCCAACATGCATTAGGTATTTGTCCTAATGCTCTCCCTCCCCTAGCCACTTATCTCCCCCTAGCCGCTCATCCCCCAACAGGCTCTAGTGTGTGATGTTCCCCTCCCTGTGTCCATGTGTTCTTATTGTTCAACTCCCACTTATGAGTAAGAATATGTGATATTGGTTTTCTGTTCCTGTGTTAGTTTGCTGAGGATTATAGTTTCCAGCTTTATCTATGTCCTTTCAAAGGACATGAACTCATTTTTTTTATGGTAGCATAATATTCCATGGTGTGTATGTGCCACATTGTCTTTATGCAGTCTATCATCGATGGGCATTTGGCTTGGTTCCAAGTCTTTGCTATTATAAATAGTGCTGCAAAAAACATACATGTGCATGTGTCTTTATAGTAGAATTATTTATAATGCTTTGGGAATATAACCAGAAATCGTATTGCTGGGTCAAATGCTATTTCTGGCTCTAGATCCATAAGGAATAACCACACTGTCTTCCACAGTGGTTGAACTAATTTACACGCCCACCAACAGTGTAAAAGCATTCTATTTCTCTGCTTCCTCACAGCATCTGTTGTTTCCAGACTTTTTAATGATCACCATTCTAACTGGTATGAGTTGGTATCTCATTGAGGTTTTGATTTGAATTTCTCTAATGACCAGTGATAATGAGTTTTTTTCATTGTTTGTTGGCCACATACATGCCTTCTTTTGAGAAGTGTCTGTTCATATCCTTTGCCCACTTTTCGATGGGGTTTTTTTTTTCTTGTAAATATGTTTAAGTTCCTTGTAGATTCTGGATATTAGACTTGTCAGATGGATAGATGGCAAAAAATTTTCTCCCATTCTGTAGGTTGCCTGTTCACTCTGATGATAGTTTTTTTTTTTGCTGTATGGAAGCTTGTTAGTTTAATTAGATCCCATATATCAATTTTGGCATTTGTTGTAACTGCTTTTGGTGTTTCAATCATGAAGTCTTTGCCTATGCCTATGTCCTGACTGGCATTGCCTAGGTTTTCTTCTAGGAATTTTATGGTTTTTTTGGTTTTACGTTTAAGTCTTTAATTCATCTTTAGTTAATTTTTGTGTAAGGTGTAAGGAAGGGATCCAGTTTTAGTTTTCTGCATATGGCTAGCCAGTTTTCCCAGAACCATTTATTAAACAGGGAATCTTTTCCCCATTGCTTGCTTTTTCAGGTTTGTCAAAGATCAGATGATTGCCGATGTGTGGTGTTATTTCTGAGACCTCCGTTCCATTCCGTTGGTTTATATATCTGTTTTGGTACCAGTACCATGCTGTTTTGGTTATTGTAGCCTTGTAATATAGTTTGAAGTTAGGTAGTGTGATGCCTCCAGCTTTTTCTTTTGCTTAGGATTGTCTTGGCCATATGGGCTCTTTTTTGGTTCCATATGAAATTTAAAGGAGTTTTTCCTAGTTCTGTGAAGAAAGTCAATGGTAGCTTGATAAGAATAGCTTTGAATCTATAAATTACTCTGGGCAGTATGGCCATTTTCATGATATTGATTCTTTCTATCCATGAGCATGGACATTTTTCCGTTCTTTTTTGTATTTTCTTAGTTTCTTGGGCAGTGGTTTGTAGTTCTCCTTGAAGAGGTCCTTCACGTCCCTTGTAAGTTGTATTCCTAGGTATTTTATTTTCTTTGTAGCAATTGTGAATGGGAGTTCACTCATGATTTGGCTCTGTGCTTGTCTATTATTGGTGTATAAGAATGCTTGTGATTTTTGCACATTGATTTTGTATGCTGAGACTTTGCTGAAGTTGTTTATCAGCTTAAGGAGTTTTGGGGCTGAGATGATGGGGTTTTCTAAATACACAATCATGTTGTCTGCAAACAGAGACAATTTGACTTCTTCTCTTCCTATTTGAATACCTTTATTTCTTTCTCTTGCCTGATTGCTCTGGTCAGGACTTCCAATACTATGTTCAATAGGAGTGATGAGAGAGGGCACCCTTGTCTTGTGCAGGTTTTCAAAGGGACCACTTCTAGCTTTTGCCCTTTCAGTATGATATTGGCTATGGGTTTGTCATAAATAGCTCTTATTATTTTGAAATATGTTCCGTCAATACCTAGTTTATTGAAAGTATTTAGCATGAAGTGGTGTTAAATTTTATTGAAGGCATCTTCTGCATCTATTGAGATCATCATGTGGTTTTTGCCATTGGTTCTGTTTGTGTAGTGGATTACATCTGTTGATTTGCATATGTTGAACCAGCCTTGCATTCCAGGGATGAAGCCAACTTGATCATGGTGGATAAGCTTTTTGATGTGCTGCTGGATTTGATTTGCCAGTATTTTATTGAGAATTTTCACATGGATGTTCATCAGGGATATTGGCCTGAAATTTTTGTTGTTGTTGTTGTGTCTCTGCCAGGTTTTGAATCAAGATGATGCTGGCCTCATAAAAGGCGGTAGGGAGGAGTCCCTCTTTTTCTACTGTTTGAAATAGTTTCCTAAAGAATAGTACCAGCTCCTTTTTGTACCTCTGGCAGAATTTGGCTGTGAATCCATCTTGTCCTGGGCTTTTCTTGGTTGGTAGGCTATTAATTACTGCCTTAATTTCAGAATTTTTAATTGGTCTATTCAGGGATTTGACTTCTTACTGGTTTAGTCTTGGGAGGGTGTATGTGTCCAGGAATGTATACATGTCTTCTAGATTTTCTTTTCATTTTTTCTGTTTTGGAGATGGAGTCTCTCTCTGTCACCCAGGCTGGAGTGCAGTGGTGTGATCTCGGCTCACTGCAACCTCCACCTGCTGGGTTCAAGCAATCCTCCTATGTCAGCCTCCTGAGTAGCAGGGAGTACAGGTGCATGCCACCACGCCTGAATAATTTTTTTTTTTTGTATTTTTAGTAGAAACAGGGTTTCATCATGTTGCCCAGGATGGTTTTGAACTCCTGAGCTCAGGCAATCTGCCCCCCTTGGCCTCCCAAAGTGCTAGGATTACAGGCATGAGCCACTGCGCCCGGCCCCCTTTATCATTTTTTATTGTGTCTATTTGATTCTTCTCTCTTTTCTTCTTTATTAGTCAGGCTAGTGGTCTATCTGTTTTGTGATTCTTTTCAAAAAACCAGCTCCTGGATTAATTGATTTTTTAAAGGGTTTTTCATGTCTATCTCCTTCAGTTCTGCTCTGATCTTAGTCATTTCTTATCTTCTGCTAGCTTTTGAATTTGTTTGCTCTTTCTTGCTTCTCTAGTTCTTTTAATTGAGATGTTCATGTATCAATTTTAGTTCTTTCCCACTTTCTGATATGGCCATTTAGTGCTATAAATTTCCTCTAAACACTGCTTTAGCTGTGTCCCAGAGATTCTGGTATGTTATCTCTTTATTCTCACTGGTTTCAAAGAACTTTCTTATTTCCACCTTTATTTCGTTATTTACCCAGTAGTCATTTAGGAACAGGTTGTTCAGTTTCCATGTAGCTGCGTGGTTTTGAGTGAGTTTCTACTTTGATTGCACTGTGGTCTGAGAGACTGTTTGTTATCATTTCTGCTCTTTTGCATTTACTGAGGAGTGTTTTACTTCCAATTATGTGGTTGATTTTAGAGTAAGTGTTATGTGGTGCTGAGAAGAATGTATATTCTGTTAATTTGGGGTGGAGAGTTTTGTAAATGTCTATTAGGCCCACTTGGCCCAGAGCTGAGTTCAAGTACTGAATATCCTTGTTGACTTTCTGTCTTGTTGATCTGTCTAATATTGACAGTGGGGTGTTAAAGTCTCCCACTATTATTGTGTGGGAGTCTAAGTCTCTTTGTAGGTCTCTAAGAACTTGCTTCATGAATCTGGGTGCTCCTGTATTGGATGCATGTACATTTAGGATAGTTAGCTCTTCTTGTTGCATTGATCCCTTTACCATTATGTAGTATGCATCTTTGTCTTTTTTGGTCTTTGTTGGTTTAAAGTCTGTTTTATTAGAGACTAGGTTTGCAACTCCTACTTTTTGTTTGTTTGTTTGTTTGCTTTCCATTTGCTTGTAAATACTCCTCCATTCCTTTATTTTGAGCCTATGTGTGTCTTTACATGTGAGATGGGTCTCCTGCATACAGCACACCAATGGGTCTTGTCTCTTTATCCAATTTGCCAGTCTGTGTCTTTTAATTGGGGCATTTAGCCCATTTATATTTAAGGTTAATATTGTTATGTGTGAATTTGATTCTGTCATCATGATGCTAGGTGGTTATTTTGCACATTAGTTGATGCAGTTTCTTCATAGTGTTATTGGCCTTTATATTTTGGTGTGTTTTTGCAGTGGCTGGTACCGGTTTTTCTTTTCCATATTTAGTAATTCCTTCAGGAGCTCATGTAAGGCAGGCCTCTGGTTGACAAACTCCCTCAGCATTTGCCTGTCCGTAAAGATTTTATTTCTCCTTCATTTTTGAAACTTCGTTTGGCTGGATATGAAATTCTGGGTTGAAAATTCTTTTCTTTAAGAATGTTGAATATTGGCCTCCACCCTCTTCTGGGTTGTAGGGTTTCTGCAGAGAGATCCTCTGTTAGTGTGATGTGCTTCCCTTTGTAGGAAACCTAACCTTTCTCTCTGGCTGCCCTTAATATTTTTTTCTTTGTTTCAATCTTGGAGAATTTGATGATTATGTGTCTTGGGGTTGCTCTTCTTGAGGAGTATCTTAGTGGTGTTCCCTGTTCCTGAATTTGAATGTTGACCTGTCTTGCTAGGTTGGGGATGTTCTCCTGTATAATATCCTAAAGTGTGTTTTCCAACTTGATTCCATTCTCCTCGTCACTTTCAGGGACCCCAATCAATCAAAAGTTTGATGGTTTCACATAGTTCCATATTTCTTGGAAGCTTTTTTCATTCTTTTTTTTCTCTTTTCTCTAATGTTGTCTTCACACCTTATTTCAGTAAGTTGATCTTCCATCTCTGATACTCTGATATCCTTTCTTCTACTTGAGTGATTTGGTTATTGATACTTGTGTATACTTCACAAAGTTTTGGTGTGTTTTTCAGCTCCATCAGGTCATTTATCTTCTCTAAACTGGTCATTCTAGTTAGCAATTCCTGTAACCTTTTGTCAAGGTTCTTAGTTTCCTTGCATCAGTTTGGAACATGCTCCTTTAGCTCAGAGGAGTTTCTTATTACCTACCTTCTGAAGCCTACTTCTGTAATTTTGTCAAAACCCACTCTCTGTCCAGTTTTGTGCCCTTGCTGGAGAGGAGTTGCAATCATTTGGTGAAGAGGCATTCTGGTTTTTGGAATTTTCAACATTTTTGCACTGGTTTTTCCTCGTCTTCATGGATTTATCTACCTTTGAGCTTTGAGGCTGATGACCTTTGGATAGGGTTTCTGTGTGGGTTTTTTGTTGTTGTTTTTGTTGATGTTGATGTTGATGTTGATGTTGATGTTGATGTTATTGCTTTCTGATTGTTAGTTTTTCCTCTAACAGTCAGGCCCCTCTTCTGCAGGTATGCTGCAGTTTGCTGGAGGTCCAGTCCAGACCATATTTTCCTGGATATCACCAGTGGAGGCAGCAGAACAGCAAAGATTGCTGCCTGCTTCATCCTCTGGAAGCTTCATCCCAGAGGGGCACCAGCCTGATGCCTCCCAGAGCCCTCCTGTATGAAGCGTCTGTCAACCCCTGTTGGGTGGTCTCTCCTGGTCAGGAGGCACAGGGGTCAGGAACCCACTTGAGGAGGCAGTCTGTCCCTTAGCAGAGCTCAAGTGCTGTGCTGGGAGAACCCTCCTTGTCAGGATCCACTGCTCTCTTCAGAGCTGGCAGGCAGGAATATTTAAGTCTGCTGAAGCTGTGCCCACAGCTGCCCCTTCCTCCAGGGGCTCTGTCCCAGGGAGATGGTAGTTTTATCTATGAGCTCCTGACTGGGACTGCTGCCTTTCTTTCAGAGATGGCCTTCCCAGTGAAGAGGAATCTAGAGAAGCAGTCTGGCCACAGCTGCTTTGCCATGCTGTGTTGAGTTCTACGCAGTCCTTAGCACTGTCAGGGGAATATTGCCTACTCAAGCCTCAGTAATGGTGGACACCCCTTCCCCCACCAAGCTTGATCATTCCAGGTTGACTTCAGACTGCTGTTCTGGCAGCAAGAATTTCAAGCCAGTGGTTCTTAGCTTGCTGGGCTCTGTGGGAGTGGGACCCTCTAAGAGAGACCCTCTGGCTTCAGCCCCCTTTCCAGGAGAGTGTATGATTCTGTCTGCCTGGGGTTCCAGGCACCACTGGAGCACAAAACACACACACACACACACACACACACACACACACACACTAACAAAACTCCTGCAGCTAGCTCGGTGTCTGCCAGATCAGCTGCCCAATTTTGTGCTTGAAACCCAGGGCACTGGTGGTATAGGCACACAAGGGAATCTCCTGGTCTTCAGATTGCAAAAACTGTGGGAAAAGCATGGTATCTGGGAAAGATAGCACAGTCCCTCACAGCTTCCCTTGGCTGGAAAGGGAGGCCCCCAACTCCTTGCACTTCCTGGGTGAGGCAATGCCCCACCCTGCTTCTATTTGCCCTTTGTGGGCTATACCCACTGCCTAACCAGTCTCAATGAGATGAACAGGGTACTTCAGTTGGAAATGCAGAAATCACCCATCTTTCACGTTGGTCCCGCTGGGAGCGGCAGACTGGAGCTGTTCCTACTTGGCCCTCTTGCCAGATCTCTCAGCCATCTTGCCAGATCCAGGCATTCTTGCTTTCTTCCATACCCTCCTCAAATCTACCATCAACATTTCCTGTGGAATCTAGACCATGACCATGATCTTCAGCCTAGGACTCTTCCACCAACGTGGGTGCTGGTCAGGCACACCAGGGCCACTTTTTCCTCAACTCACTACCTAACGTGCTGCCTGCCTTTAATAATAACAGTAGCCACTGAGCACCAAAACCCAAAACATGCAGCTCCTGGCAACTGCTGATGAGCAGCCAAAAAAGGGAGCAACTGTGTCCAACATGAATCATGAAACCTCAATGGAGAGATGGTCTTATTTTGGAATTTTAGCCAACAATTATTTCTCTTTTAAATTCTCCAAGTCAATTTTTAGATACTGATATCCATTCAAATATTAGTTCATGGTATGAAGTTGAAATAGCTTTCATGTTTATTTCATATTTGTTAGAAAGAAGGGAATTCCTAAATACTGTTGACTGTTAAAAGTTAATAAACTTAATATAGTAAAGCATCTTTTATTCTTTTTATTTCTTTTATTCTTTCATATTTCACTTATTTCACTGAGAATAATTCCATGAATTCCCTTTATATATTTATACAATTCAGGCTTATCAGTTAGATTTCTTTATCCCAATAAAACAGCTTCCAAAGTACACTGACTTCAGTGAGGCCCTTGTGGCTCCCATTAACAAAACAACAGGGAAGCTTTTAAGCTCTGAATTATAATCACCTGAGTTCATGAAAACCATAGATATTAAACTTTGAGTTGTTATGCATGGATAGTGATGATAACTGGATGGAAATTATAGTATATTCAACACCTTCACTATTATTCTCTTGTTAATTATGCTTATCACCTAAAAGTCATTGATGCAACATATGTATGAGTCAATCTCACTCAATTAATTTGAACATTTTTATGAGTGAAATGTATTAAAATATAATCCAAAAAGGTTGTGCTTGGAAGATAATGGCTTTCAATTATAGTACATAAATAAAAGATTGAAAAAGATGTACCAAACCATTTCTTCAACTCCCTAAAATACTTAAATTGAAAAAGAATAACAAAACTTTCTTAGGACCCAGAATAATTATATTTAACTTAGGTTTAGTTATGCTGCTTTAGCTATTATCAGAGATGATCAAAATATTTTAAAATCTGAATGTAAGTGTGGGACAATTAAAAGGCTGTGGATAGCAGGATGCAGTGTCAGCAGTATTATTTTTTTAATGCGGTATTTAGGAAAATGTTTAAAATAATAAGAAACATTAGGCATAAGGGAAGTAATCATCACTGAGACACTGATACTTATGAAAATAGGGTGACCAAGTGTCCTGGCTTCCCTGAGTCTATCCAGCTTTTATCCTAAAATTTCTACATCCCAGGAATAACCTCAGGCTTAGACATACCAGGATGTTTGGTCAGTCTGTGTTTAAACCAGAACACGTAAGAAAACAATGTGAACGGAATAAAGAGATCCTATGGAGTACGGAACAGGGTACTTTATTATTATCCAAATAGGAGATCTATTTATGAGTAGAAACAGCACTATTAAAATTATACTGTGACAACATACATAAACTGGAACAGACTAAAGTGGAGTCAGCAAACTTTGTCTGTAAAGGGCCACAGAGTAAATATTTCTGGGAATTTAGGAATTTTAGAGGGCAAGAGAAAGTGTAATGATGATTAAGCAAACAGTCTCATAGAGCAAAGCTGAGTCAATAACTAGAGGATAAACAAGTTGAGTGATAAGAGTATCTTGAACTTAGTGTTTTAAGTTTAATTTTGAACACCCAAGCCACTATTTCCAAAAATTTTTCGTCTTGTCTTCTATCATTCACATTTATAATCTCAATTGTCTTGATACAAGGACCCCCTCTTGTTTTATTCCCATGAGGCTCAATGTGCAGTATCCTTGAATAATTAAAAGGCAACACTGGTGTCCTCTGCTGATTTATTTTATTAAAATCATTAGCCTACTATAGGGCAGAAAGGTCAAAATACTTAAGAGTTATATCAAGATCCCCTATAATGTTGGTGCTAGGGCACAGAGTTAACAACTGACCTATGAAGTAGGTCCAGAGAAAGACAATCTTGATCTTCCAAAACTGTTCACTATACAAACATTCTTGAAAAGATAGTCAAAATGGCAATCATGAAGCTTACACTAAAGTTAAGGAAAGAAAATAATAAGAAACAGAGAGTGCATTAGGAGGGTTGATGTACTTCCCAGGATACTCTGGCAAATAATAATCACATGGGTCCTTTGAAGCTAAGCAGCTCACTGTGCCTTTGAGGCCAAGTATCCCAGTGTCATAGCTTTTCTGAGTAGTTATGCTTTTTCTAAGGATAAAAAGGTGAGATAGGCAGAAGCATTCATTTCTGAAATTGGCCTGGATTTTACAAGTTTACTTAGCATGTTTAGCCTAAGTGCCATAGAGAGCACTCAGTCTAGCAGTAGTTGCAGGTATGTACCTAGGAAGGGTTAATTTTATTCTGTCCAAAGAGTACTGGGTCTTCAACATGGCACAGTTCTTGCATTGCTAATTATGCCATATTCTGTGGATGGCTTTTGCACTTTGAATGGTTCTCTTGCTACACCAGCATCTGCTGAGTTTCCTAAATATAACTCTTGATGACTCCTTAACTTTTAGTTTCCTATGAGTTCTACAATGAGCCTCTTTTGCAGTTTTTCTTCCTCTTCTAAACATCTAAGGTGTGATAGTAACGTAGTCATTACGTATCTTTGGAATTTCTTATTGGAATCGCACACATTGGCTTTGTGTATTATTCTAAACTCTTTAGTTGAATTATAACTACATATCTGCATAATATCTCAACTTCAGATATGAAAAAGAGTAGATGTTGATTTTTTCTTTTTGGAAAATTCAAAATATTAATTCATCCATTAATCAATATGATTACCAAATAGTTATTAAGTGCTTATTAAGTACTAACATGTACAAATGCATTCCAATTAATTTTCTCTTAATTTCCTATCACTAATAGGAAAACATCATTTTTGCTTAGGGCTTCTCATCTTGCTGCTCAAATAGTGTCCATCTCTCATGGAATTTCCCCATTATAATCTTTCCTAACATTGGTTGATTTATCAATGAAATAAGAAATTATTATTCCCTTTTATCAACAGAATACTTAAGTGACTTACCAATGTTATAATGGAGCTTGGATTCAACAGAGATGCTCTATGTAAGCTTTGTGTTTCTTCTTATCCATAGGAACAATGGTTTCCACTAGAGGATAGTTATTAACACCTCAAGGATAATTACTGCTTGTGATGGTACTACCAAGATAATAAGTTGCCCTTAAATATTCATGGTGACTCATTTAACAAGACAATGGACTATATATTATTCTCTGTTTATTACAACTTGTCTTTTTTCATCTTTCTATGCAAATATTGAGTAAAATTAGGTTAACAATTACAATTATAAAAATACCACTTATGTCTATATCTTAGTAAAGTTTTCAGAGGTTTTTATTTATTAAAATATTAGTGTATTTTCTGACCTACTATGTGCCAGTGATGTTTGAGATGCTAGGGATATAGTATTGGAGAAACAGGTAACATTCTTTGCTCCTGTGTGGCTTGTAGTCTACTATCAAAAGAGATGAGCTGAATACCACAGCTAAGTACCACAGCTAGGAAGTGTTTAACTAGAATTCAAAACTGGGTTTGTTTGACCTAAAGTCCAAATTCTTTCCCTTTGCCTTGAAGCCTTGACTCCATTATTAATGTTTTCTACAAAAAAAAGTTTTAAACATAGGCTTATTTCACAAATGGTAATAACACTGTGAAAGAGGTTCTAAGATGTCAGCAGGTATTGTTGAAAGAGTAAACTAGCCACTTGGACACATCTAAGAGTCAAAACATTTCTGTTCTTATGAGGTTAGAATATAGACAAACTCTAATCCCTGAGAATCACTCCATTTTAGATTATTATGCAATTTTCTAAAAATTATACAATATTGGGTAGATCTAGGGTTTCTATACCATAAATACATTCTCCTTGATTTGAGAACCTTTTGGTAAAGCTATTCTCTAAAGACTAACCTCAGGATGGATTATAATCCTAGTTCAAGAGAACAGAGTATAAATCCTAAGAGATATACCTATATGCGCCTCTGAATTCCACAGTGGATATGTTCAGAAGGGTACCAGAAAGATAATAGGGGTTATCAGAGTTCTTAATTTTTTTTCTTCCATATCCATAAGAAAATGCACTGGCCATTTTATGTATTACCACCTATGGTAGGCAGCACAGTCCCTCAAACATGTTCACACTCTAACTTCTGAAACCCATGAACATAGACAATGTGACTTTGCAAATGTAATAAAAATTATGGAGCTAGACTATATGGATAGCCCTAATCTAACCATGTTGAGTCCTTTAAAGCAGAGAACTGTGATTACAGAAATATAGCAGAAAGGCAAGAGGGATGTGGGATAAGGGAAATCATAGAGATTCTAACACTGAGAAGTTTTGATGATCCACTGTTGGCTCTAAGGCATAAGAGCTCACATGCAAAGATGGAAGACACGCCTCTAGGAAATGAGGGTGGTCTCTACCTGACAGCCACAAGTAAATGCATGCTTCAGCCCTATACCTGCAAGGAAATAAATTATAACAAAAATCTGAGTGAACTTGGAAGTGGATTCTTCCCCAGAGCCTCCAGAAAGGAATGAAATTTTTAGCTGAGTGAGAACTGCAGTGAATTTCCAACCTACAGAACTGTGAGATAATAAATGGGTGTTATTGTAAGGTGCTATTTATTAATGTAGTGGTGAAAATCTAATGCATTACTTCTGATAATATTTCATGGCCTCTTGTCTAGTCTGTTATTTTGACTTATACATTCTATCTTATCAAATTTCACTGAAAATACTTGGCTTAAGATTTGTTTTTCATCCTTGGCCTCACCCCTTTTTGATTGAAGTCTCAGTTCTTACTATTTCTTTCATTCTCATGGCTCCTTTTGGCTTTGGATATTTTCCACAGTTCTTTCTTTGTTCTAAAAAAGTAGTTCATATCAGGCTCATTCTACCCACATGTTAGATCATGCTCCAGGATATAAGCTAATTTTTCCTTTCCTTTCATAGAAACTTTTCTTCCTATTTTCAGAAACTGTCTTTCTGTATTGCATATCAACATCACCGTACCTCTGTGAGACAGATGCACAAAACTTCCCCTTCCCCACTTCTCCATCTGATTATTTAGACTTTTTGCTTTCAATGGGTTAATACCATTGTATATTTATTCTCATAGTTAGCCACTTCTACCTAGGTCCCATAGTACTAAATAAGTGCACTTGTAAAAAGGGTAGCAAAGTGGCCTTATAAAAGCAAGAGATGAAAATATAAGAGAGATAGAAGACATCTAAACTTTTAAAAAAAATTTTATTTTTATCTTTACATGTATTTTTGTAGTTGAAACTTTTGGAGTTAATGCTCCAGATTAACTAGAAAATGATGAAAATATTTTCATGAGGCTGTAGTGGCTACAGGGAAGGTTTCTGGGGCAAGCAAGTCTTTAGGCTTGCAAACATCAGTATACTAATTGGCAAATGACCTGGATTCTACTTTATCTGGAGAGTTGAAACAACAGTGGATTTAGAGTTCAAAGAATATGAGAAATTGCAGATTTGGAGGTCCTGGCATAAAATAATGACAATTTTATGACGCAAGTGGTCTCCAAAGATCACCTAAAGAATCTTCTGCCTCCAGGGACATGCATGATAACTTATAAATTTGAATGTCTTTGAATTAGATTTAGATGCCAGAAAATACCCAAATAACAGTAGTTTAAGTCATATATAAATTTCTTCCTTGTATAAAAGAAGTCCATATTCAGATAGATTGAAACTGATATGGTGGTTCATGATTACCAGATACTCATGAAATTTACTTCTAACTTACTCTCCATTATCCTAAGACTGTAACTTCTACCCTAAATATCACCTCATGGTTTAAAAAACCACTAGAGCTCCAGTGATGTATCTGTATTTAAGTCAACAGGAAGCATGTGGAAG
The DNA here is from genome assembly GCF_000001405.40 of Homo sapiens. Lineage (NCBI taxonomy): Eukaryota > Metazoa > Chordata > Mammalia > Primates > Hominidae > Homo > Homo sapiens. The sequence continues at coordinate 48,277,572 of NC_000006.12, forward strand.
TGGGGAGCAGAAAATGACATTCTTCCCAAGTCAATTTCTTCTGAAAATTCTTTATTGAGGTTCTATAAAATGTTTGGTTTAGGCCAGGCATGGTGGCTCACGCCTGTAATCCCAACATTTTGGGAGGCCAAGGCAGGTGGATCACAAGGTTCGAGACCAGCTCGGCCAGATGGTGAAACCCCGTCTCTACTAAAAATACAAAAAAATTAGCTGGGCGTGGTGGTGCACACCTATAGTCCCAGCTACTCAGGAGGCTGAGGTATAAGAATTGCTTGAACCCAGGAGGTGGAGGTTGCAGTGAGCCGAGACCGTGCCACTGTACTACAGCCTGGGTGACAGAGTGAGACTCCATCTCAAAAAAAAAAAAAAAAAAAAAAAAGGAAAAAAACAAACAAACAAAAAAACTTGGTTTAGTATCATTAGCCAAATGTTATTTGACCAAACATGGTTAAAAGGGAGGAAGGGAAATTAATGACTTTAGCTAAGTAAAATAAACCCTAAGTAAAATCAGTGTTCTGTTTTAAGAAAGGAGAGAATAGATATTTTCTCCATATTTTAAATAAGACTTTCTGCTTTATTCAAATTTAAAGATTTCTACTAAAGAAAACCTTTATCCATCTTTGTAGTATATGTAGCTTAGAATACAATTGTTCCTTGTTTTCAGAATTTTCTGCAATGCTGTATAAATTAAGCTCATTAAGAGTATATGCAAAAGGTAAAAAAAAATGTGAACTGCAATAGGCTTTATAGGTTTTCACTTTTCGACTGAAGACATGCCACTGAATTTTCTAGAGAGCCTATCCTTTCTTCACTTGAAGCCCATTTGGATTTGGCTGGTTGCAACTCCCTCTTATCTCCCAGAGAAGACTTAGTTGGCCTAAGCCAATCACCCATACAATGGCTATGGTGATTCTTACAGAGATAAGCACACAGCCCAATCCTATTCAAGGAGAGTTAGACCCAAGATTTTGCCTGAGTCTTAGAAACTAAGAAACTTACTTTCTCTTGATACCACACACTTACCTGGAAGACTGCATCTCTGGATGCAGCTGGCAATAATCCTGAGATCTCAAGGGAAAAGGCTGTCTGAGAATAGAGTCAATTTACAGACAGATATGTTAACAGGCAGAGAGAAAGTGAAGTCAGATCTTTTGAGACCCTGTATGAATTCCAAAGAAATCATTTCACTTAAGCAAATGTGTGTCAGGTTTTCTGTCCATTTACAACCAAAATAGTCTTTATCATCATTGAAAAAAAGTGTATTTGATTGGCTATTATATATTGGCCACCATGCATTTCATGTTGACATATTTTCTTTTAATAGTGCCCAACAATTAGTCTCCATAAAAAATGGATAATAAAAACTATATCCTTTGGCCACTCAAAGAAATTTTCCTTGCATTTTCCAAAAGGAAGAAAAGTTTGCTGGATTACAACATTATAGCATTCCTCATTTCTTTTTATCTTTCTTCATATCACCTCTGATTTCTACTATTTGTTCAAAAATTTGTAAAGTTATTTTGGTATGTATGTATAGCTAAAACATAGATAACCAGGGCTAGTTGAGCTTAATAAGTGGCTCTTATTCCATCCAGTTTTATCCTCTCTTTAATTATTCCCCACCATAAACTTAACCACACCTTGTTTATCTTAGTAATTGGCAATTTTGCCACAGACTGTAAAAGGCACATATGATTAAACATCTTCACAAATGTTTAGTCTCTGTTAATGTCACAAGGTAGTATTTGACAGCGTTAGTAGGCATGAAATATTATTTTTTAAATCTTTGACTGCCTTGCGTGTTGTCTTTTACCAAACTATAAAGCTATGATTTTTCATTTTTGCAGCCCTCAGGGTAGCAAGTTTATTGCATCAATTCAGAGAAAAAAAGAAGTGACATTTGGATTTCTGAAACAGACATTTGAAGCTTATAGCACACACAATAGTTTTTAGGGAAAAACATTTGAATTTAAAAGCTTGTCTTTACTGTGCATCAAAGGTCAAGGTCTTACTCTCTACACAGAAGGGATATACAGAAAGTTTATTGAGTAAGAAAATAGAGAGAAGGATATAAAAGAAACAAAAGAGTTAGATGTTGGACACGCTGCTGTGGGCCTCCTCTTGCTTATGTTCCCAGCACAAAATAAGAGAGACCCACTTCTCAAGTAGGTTAGGGACATCAGCACAGAGGACACATGTGCCTTGTATCCAGGAGTGGGTGTCTGAGAATATAGCAAGATTCTAGAATGATTTCCACACCATAGAAGGAAGATACATAGGAGGAATAGGTATTTTTAATTAGAGGCCTTGAACCAGCCCCCCACCAAGTTTGCTCTCTACTTGAGATAGAAGTAGCTGCATTTTTCTAAGCTCTTAGAAAAAATCAGCAATAGAAAAGAGAGAGAGAGGGAGACCTGCCCCCTTGTAAGTTAATATCCCACAAGAAAGAGAAACTTTGACTAAAATTCAGTCAAATGAAAGTTTTAAATTCTCATGCTCCTGACTGGTTTTCTCTGGAAATCCTATTATTTTGGGTTGAGGATGTGTCTTCTAAGGTAATTTGTATTTGCTCCTACCTGAGGCCCAGTCGGAATACCCATCTTAGATAACTCTCAAATGCAAACCCTCATGAGACCAGGCCTATGGCTATAATTTCCCAGGGGAGCTCCTCCTGCTTTTGTTCCTCTGGTTCAGACTGAAACAGAAAGTCTGGGTGAGCAAACAGATTTTCCTCACCACCTTTTTCTGGTGTTAAGTGATTTTTTTCTGGTCTATTCTTGAATTGAGGTTATAGAATTTCACAAGTTCCAATTTTATTTCAGGGCTATAGCTCCAAATCTCCCTGTGTACAAGCCCAAGATCTTGTATTCCATGAGGCATTTAACACTCAAGGCTGTATTTTTACCAGGATTGGAAATATCCTAGCAGCTGCTGTCCTGGCTTTAATACATAGTTGCAACCCTGACTTACTGCTTCCTATTTAGGTTGAATCTTGGGGATTTCTCTTACTTTCCAGTGAAATCAGTGCATTTAAAAAGATGACAGTTATATTCTGTCTCAATATTGTGTAGCAGAAGTTTCATCAGGATGTCTGGTTTATCATAGATTGTGTTTTTCAAAACCCATTCACTCATGTTATCTCATTTGGGATCAGAGCTTATATACCTTTGTTAAAGATAAGGCAACAGGTGAAATGGAGAGTGCTTATTCTGTGAGAACTGTGTACTCCTTGTTACGGAAGCAGGGCTCAAAACCTCTTCATTCTCTCTGATACATCAAGAACATCTCTTTCCCACCTATCTGTTAAAACACCCGGTGCTTCCAGACTCATGCATTTCTTGCCCCCTGGCTTGGTACCCTATTGACCTCGTGCTCACTCACTCTCATTCTTTAAAGACTGTGGCACCTACTTACAGACCTTCTTCTACCACACACGTTACCATCATCCTGGTTCAATTTAGTGAGTGTCCCATTTAACTCTCAGGCCTTATATTTATTCGATATTTTTATTTTTTATTATGTGCCCTGTCTCAAACGTTTAGTCCAGGGCAGCATGAAAATGTTGCATTCACTTGTGTTTTTATTTGTATAGATTTAAGGTGTACAAGTGCCATTTTATTACATGGATACACTTTCCTGTGATGTATTTTTCTCAGTAACTTCAGTCTTGATTTTTTTTTGGATCACACAGCTATACGGAAAACATTTAATCTGAAATAATAAATTCAGCCACTTAACCTTTTGACTACAATCTCCTGATTGTACACCCACTGAGTATTTGGAGTTTTTAGAGTTTTTTTGGATAACTCTAAATATCCATTCCTTGAACTCTCTTCTTCTTAACATTCTGCCCTATCTTGACCTTATTTCCTTCTGTGTATTGCTTAGACTCTGTGGGTCTTCATTTAAATTCTTTTGTTATTATTAACTTTAACAAGTTGTTTCATTTCCTTTTGTACCCAAACAGGAAAGCCCCAAGCATGAGCAAATCCAACTATATCCCTGTATGAAATGTCAAATGTTAAAATCAGCTAAAGGAAATCCACAGCTTCATAGATTACTTCAAACGTAATCTAGATATTCTGCTGTCATCTGGTTTTTCAGCTTTGTTCAGCACACTTTCACTTTTTTCTAGTTATGTATGTCTGCAGTGTTCTAAACCTTTTATTCTTTCTCCAAACCTTCAGTTAAATCAACGCCATTTTTTTTGTTCTCTTTTTAAAAAGAAATTTTGTCGGTACATAGTAGGTGTATATATTTATAGGGTACACGAGAAGTTTTGGTACAAGCATGCAATGTGAAATAAGCACATCATGGGGAATGGGGTATCTGTCCTCTCAAGCATTTGTCCTCTGAGTTACAAACAATCCAATTACACTCTTTAAGTTATGTTAAAATGTGCAGTTAATTCATTATTGACTATAGTCACCCTATTGTGCTACCAAATAGTAGGTTTTATTTATTCTATTTTTTTGTATCTATTAACTATCCTCACCTCCATCCAGACCCCCACTACCTTTCCCAGCCTCTGGTAATTATCCTTCTACTCTCTATATCCATGAGTTCAATTGTTTTGATGTTTAGATTGGACAAATAAGTGAGACATGTGTTATTTGTCTTTCTGTGCCTGGTTTATTTCACTTAACATAATGATCTCCAGTTTCATCCATGCTGTTGCAAATGAATGGATCTCGTTCTTTTTTTCATGGCTGAGTAGTACTGCATCGTGTATATGTACAACACTTTTTAAAATCCATTTATCTGTTGATGGACACTTATGTTGCTTCCAAATCTTAGCTATTGTAAACAGTAGTGCCACAAACATAGGAGTGCAGATATCTCTTTGATATACTGGTTTCCTTCCTTTTGAGTATATACCCAGAAGTGGGATTGGTGGATCACATGGTAGCTCAATTTTTGATGTTTTAAGGAACCTCCAAACTTTTCTTCATAGTAGTTTTACTAACTGACTTTCCCATCAGCAGTGCACAAGAGTTCCCATTTCTCCACATCCTCACCAGCATTTGTTATTGCCTGTCTTTTGGATATAAGCCATTTTAACTGGGTGAGAAGATATCTCATTGTAGCTTTGATTTTTACTTATCTGATGATCAGCGATGTTGAGCACTTTTTCATATACCTGTTTGCCATTCATATCTCATATTTTGGGAAATGTCTATTCAAATTTTTTGCCCATTTTCTGACCAGATTATTTTACTTTTTCCTATAGAGTTGTTTGAGTTCCTTATATATTCTGGTTATCAATCCCTTGTCAGATGGGTAGTTTGCAAGTATTTTCTCCCATTCTGTGGATTGTCTCTTTACTTTGTTGATTGTCTCTTTACTTTGTTGATCAAAGAAGTTTTACTAAAAACTTCTTTGATGCACAGAAGTTTTTAACTTGATGTAATCCTACTTGTCCATTTTTTTCTTTGGCTGCCTGTGCTTGTGGGTTACTGCTCAAGAAATCTTTGTCCAGAATAATGTCATGGGGAGTAGTAGTCTCATAGTTTGAGGTTTTAGATTTAAGTATTTAATCCATTTTGATTTGATTTTTGTATATGGTGTGACATAGTGGTCTAGTTTCATTCTTTTGTGTGGGGATATCCAGTTTTCCTGCTACCAATTTTTGAAGAGGGTGTCTTTTCCCTAATGTATTTTCCAGGCACCTTAGTCAAAAATGAATTCACCGCAGGTGTGTGGATTTGTTTACAGGTTCTACATTCTGTTCCATTGGTCTGTGTGTCTATTTTTATGCCAGTACTATGCCCTTTTGTTTACTATATTTCTGGGGTATAATTTGAAGTCACGTAATGTGATTTCTTCAGTGTTGTTCTTTTTGCTTAGGATGGCTTTGGCTATTCTGGGTCTTTTGTGGTTCCATATAAATGTTAGGATTTCTTTTTTATTTCTGTGAAGAATTTCACTGGTATTTTGATAGGGATTACATTGAATCTGTAGATTACTTTGGGTAGTATGGACATTTTCGCAATATTGATTCTTCCAATCCAAGAACCTAGAATACTTTTCCATTTTTGGGTGTCCTATTTATTTTTTTCATCAATGTTTTATAGCTTTCATTATAGAGATCTTTTATTACTTTGGTTAATTCCTATGTATTTTATTTTATGTATGGCTATTATAAATGGGATTACTTTTTAAAATTTCTTTTTCACATTGTTCACTGTTGGCATATAGAAATGCTACTATTTTTTATGTTGATTTTGTATCCTGCAACTTTACTGAATTTGTTCATCAGTTTTAATAGTTTTCCTGTAGAGTCTTTAGGGTTTTCCAAATATCTGATCATATAATCTGCAAACAAGGATAATTCAAATTTTTCCTTTCCAATATGGATGCCCTTTATATCTTTCTCTTGTCTAATTGCTACAGCTAGGACTTGCAGTACTATGTTGAATAATAGTAGTGACAGTGGGCATCCTGGCTGCATACCAGATCTTAGATCAATTTTTCCCCATTCAATATGATACTACTAGCTGTGGATCTGTCATATGTGACTTTTATTATGTTGAGGTATGTTCCTTCTATCCCCAGTTTTGTGAGGGTTTTTATTATGAAGGGATGTTGAATTTTATCAAGTGCTTTTTCAGCATCAATCGAAATGATTATATGTGTTTTATCTTATCAAGGATAGTTGATTTGATTGATATATGCAAATTATCACTGTGACACTTCATATCAACAGAATGTGACACATAGTTATCCAGAGATAAATCCCTCTTGGTCATGATGAATGATCTTTCTAGTGTATTGTTGAATTCTGTTTGCTGGTATTTTGTTGAGGATTTTTGCATTAGTATTCATCAGAGAGATTGGTCTGAGGTTTTCTTTTTTTCATATATCTTTTTCTGGTTTTGGTATAAAGGTAATACTGGCCTCATATAATGAGTTTGGAAGTATTTCCTCCTCTATTTTTCAGAACAGTTTGAGTAGGATTGGTATCAATGTTTCTTTAAATGTTTGGTAAAATTCAGCAGTGAAGCCACTGGGGCTCAAGCTTTCCTTTAGCAGAAAATTTTTTATTATGGCTTTAATCTTGTTACTTGTTATTAGTCTGTTCAAGTTTTGAAATTCATTGATTTCTGTTCTGATACTTATTATTATTTTTTCTTCTATTAATTTGGGGTTTGGTTTGCTCTGGCATTTCTAGCTTTTTAAGATGCATCACTAGACTGTTCATTTGAAGTTTTTCCTATTTTTTGATGTACGTACCTATAGCTACAAACTTCCCCTCTTAAGAGGTACTGCTTTTGTTGTATCCCATAGGTTTTGGTATGTTGTGTTTTCATTATCATTTGTTTCAATACATGTTTAAGTTTCTTCTTAATTGCTTCATTGACACACTGGTAATTCGGGAGCATATTGTTTAATTTTCATGTATTTGTATAATTTCCAAAATTATTCTTCTTATTAATTTCTAGTTTTATTCCATTGTGATCAGAGAAGATACTTGATATTATTTCAATTTCTTTGAATGTTTTAAGACTTGTTTTGTAACCTAACATATGTTCTGTCCTTGAGAATGATCTATGTGTTGAGGAAAAAAATGTGTTTTCTGTAGCTCTTAGATGAAATGTTCTGCTTTTCTCAAGCAGAAGGAATTTGGTCTATAGTACAGATTAAGTCTGATGTTTCTTTGCTGAATTTCTGTCTGGAAGATCTGTCCAATGCTAAAAGTGGGGCGTTGAATTCTCCAGCTATTATTGTATTGGGGCCTATCTCTCTCTTTAGCTCTAAGTAATATTTTCTTTCTATATCTGGGTGCTCCAGTGTTAGGTGCCTGTCTATTTAAAATTGTTATATCCTCTTGCCAAATTGACCCCTTTATTATTACATAGTGACCTTCTTTTTCTCTTCCTACAGATTTTTGTCTTGAAATCTATTTTGTCTGACATAAGTATAGTGACTCCTGCTCTTTTTTTTATTTCCACTGGTATAGAATGTCTTTGTCCATTTCTTCATTTTCAGTCAATGTGTGTCTTTATAGGTGAAATGTGTTTCTTGTAGGCAACAGATCAGTGGGTTTTGTTTATTCATTCATTCAGCCAGTCTATATCTTTTGATTGGAGAGTTTAGTTCATTTACATTCATCGTTATCATTGATAAGTAAGGACTTACTCCTGCCATTTTGTCATCTATTTTCTGGTCATTTTATGGTCTTTATTTTTTCTTTACTGCCTGTCTACCTCTAGTGAAGGTGATTTTCTCTGGTGATATAATTTGATTTTTCACTTTTTATCTTTTGTGTATTTATTGTATGTTTTTTGGCTTGAGGTTACCATTAGGCTTGCAAATATTATCTTACAACCCATTATTTTAACCTGATAACAACTTAACACTATTTGCATAAACAAACAAGCAAAAAAAGAAAGCTAATAAGAACTCCATGCTTTAACTTCATGCCCATTCTTTAACTTTGTGTTGTTTATATCTTATTGTACCATGTCTTGAAAAGTTGTTGTAGTTATTATTTTTTATTGGATTCTTCATTTATTCTTTCTACTTAGGGTAATAATAGTTTACATACCATGGTTACAGTGTTATAATATTCTATGTCTATGTACTTACTATTACCAGTAAGTTTTTTTACCTTCAGGTGATTATTTATTGCTCATTAATGTCCTTTTCTTTCTGTTGAAGAACTCCATTTAGCATTTCTTGCAGGATAGGCCTGGCATTGGCAAAATCACACAGCTTTTGTTTGTCTGGAAAAGCCTTTATTTCTCCCTCATATTTGAAGGATATTTGTTGCCACATATACTATTCTACAGTAAAAGATTTTTCCTTCAATGCTTTAAACATGGTATGCCATTCTTTCCTAGCTTGTAAGGTTTCCACTGAAAAGTCTGCTGCTAGACTTGGAGCTGGGGAGCCTGGAAAGCTCCATTGTATTGTATTGTTTCTTTTCTCTTGCTGACTTTAGGATCCTTTCTTTATCCTTGGCCTTTAGGAGTTTGATTATTAAATGCCTTGAGGTTGTCTTCTTCGGGTTAAATCTGCTTGGTGTTCTATAACCTTCTCAGACTTGGATATTGATATTTTTTCTAGGTTTGGGAAGTTCTCCATTATTATCCCCTCGAATAAACTTTCTACCCCTATCTCTTTCTCTACCTTCTCTTTAAGGCCAATAACTCTCAGCTTTGGCCTGTTGAGACTATTTTCTAGATCCTGTAGGCACGCTTGATTGTTTTTTATTCTTTTTTCTTTTGTCTACTCCAACTGTGTATTTTCAAATAGCCTGTCATCAAGCTCACTAATTCCTTCTTCTGCTTGGTCCATTCTACTATTAAAGGACTCTGATGCATTATTCAGCTTGCCAACTGCATTTTTCAGTTTCAGAATTTCTGCTTTATTCTTTTTAAATTATGTCAATCTCTTCATTAAATGTATCTGACATAATTCTGAATTTCTTCTCTGTGCTATCTTGAATTTTTTAAAATTTCCTCAATACAGCTATTTTGAATTCTCTGTTTGAAAGGCCAAGTATCTCTGTTTCTCCAGGATTGGTCTCACATTCCTTACAGTGAACTATAGATAGTTCATTTGGTGAGGTCATGTTTTCCTGGATGGTGTCAATGCTAGTAGATGTTCTTCAGGGTCTAGGTACTGAAGAATTAGGTATTCATTTTAGTCTTTACTGTTTGGGCTTATTTGTATCCATTCTTCTTGGGAAGGCTTTCCAAATATCTGAAAGGACTTGGGTGTTGTGATATAAGCTGTATCTGGTTTAGGAAGCACCACAAGCCCAGTAACATTGTGGTTCTTATAGACTTGTAGATGGTCTTTGACCAGATCCAGGAGAATTCTCTGGATTACCAGGCAGAAACTCTTGTTCTCTTCCCTTACATTTTCCCAGACATACAGAGTGCTTCTCTCTGTTCTGAGTCACCTAAAGCAGGGGGTGAACTGACATGAGCACCACTGTGTCCACCACTACTTTGGCTATACTGGGTCAGAATTGAAGCCAGCATAGCACTGGGTCTTGCCCAAGGCCTACTGTAACTACTCCCTGTCTACTACCTATGTTCACTAAAGGCCTTGGGGCTCTACAAATAGCAGGTGGCAAAGCCAGCTAGGCCTGTGCCCTTCCCTTCAGGGCAGCAAGGTCCCCTAAGCCCTGGGTGGGTCCAGAAGTGCCATCTGGGACTTAGGGACTAGAGTCAAAAAACCTTAAAAGTCTACTTGAGGTTCTATTGTATTGAAGCTGAACTGAATTGCAGGTTGAGCTACAAGACACAGTCCTTTCCACTCTTCCCTCCCTTTCCACAGGCAGAGGAGCCTCACCTGGTAGCTACCACCACCCCAGGGCATAAGGAGTACTGTCAGTCTACCACCAATGTCCCCTTAAGGCTCAAGGTCTCTTAAGTCAGCTTGTCACAAGTGCTGCCTGGCCTGGGACTCAGTCTTCAGAGCAGTGGCTCCCCTCTGGCCTAAGGCTGGTCCAGAAATGCCATCCAAGAGTCAAGCCCTGAAATTGGTGATCCCAAGAGCCTGCTTGGTGCTCTGCCTCCCTGTGGCTGTGCTGGTAGCTAACCTGCAAGACAAAGTCTTCTTTATTTTTCCCTCTGCTTTTCTCAAGAAGAAGGAATTTTGTCCTGTAGCCACCATAGCTGGTAATGTGCTGAGTTTCACCTGAAGCTAGTAAGTCTCAGAGACCCACACAAGGCCCTCAGTGTAGGACCTGGGTATTGCTGCTGTTTATTCAGAGCCCAGGGGCTCTTCAGCTAGCAGTGATGAATGCTGCTAGGACTGGGTCCTTTCCTTCAAGGCAGCAGGTTCCCTTCTGGTCCAGGGTGTGTCTAGAAATGTCATCTGGGAGGTAGGACCTCGAACAGGGGCCTCACGACTGACGGGTGCCCTATCCTGCTGTAGCTGAGCTGGTGTCCTAGAAGCAAGACAAAATCCTTCCCACTCTGCCCTCTCCTCTCCTAAAGTGGAAGGAAGGAGTCTCTTTTGGAACCTTGAGCTGTGTAGCCTGGGGTTAGGAGAGGCATGATGCCAGCACTCCCTTAGCTGCCCCAGATGGGTGTCTCGGTATTTTCTGTGCCCACTCAGTCCACTGTCTCTCAGCCTAGTTCAGCACTAGGAATCACCTAAAGACTTGTAGTCCTTATGGCCTAGACTGCCTTTCACATTTATTTGGAGACACAGAGTGCTGTAGCTCTTGGTGGTGAGGTTTGCAGATACTCAAGTTCAAACCAATGAGATCTGCAATTCTCTTCTGGCTGGGGCTGGTTTAAATGCTCCCTTTGTGTGCAGGCATCAGCTGAATTTGGTCTGGCTTTTTCTGCTGTAACAGGACAGCACTGAGTTCAGTGCCTCACAGTTGCTGTGTTCTCCCTTTCCCAGTGCCCAGGGATGCTCTATGCAACACATTACTGCTGCTGGGGGTGGGGGAGGGGTGGCATCTGTGGTTCAGGACTATTTTTTCTCTCTCTTCAGTGCCTCTTTCAGCAATATGAAGTTAAAACCAGGCACTGTGAGTGCTTACCTGATTTTTGGTTCTTATGAAGGTGTTTTTTGTTTTGTTTTGTTTTTCTGTGTAGATAGTTGTTCACTTGGTGTCTTTATGGGGAGCATGATTGGTGAAGCTTTCTATTTCACCATCTTTCTCTGCCTCCAAGAACAACACTGTTTTCTCATCCTTCACCACCAGGAAAAGAAACTTTCATCCATCACAAGGAAAATAGAAGTCATTAAGTAACTCATGTTCTTCCTACCCTTACATTTTTAAAACAATGGGCATGTGCATCTACCCTTTTTACCTCTTGAACAGTTACATTGAAAGAGAGTTACCCCTTTGCTCTAGGACCCATCCTTCCACACATGTAAACCATCATTTTCTAATCCGCCTTAAAATACCCCTTAAGATCTCACTTTGCAGACTTTTATCTCACTGTCTGTACTTTTCATCTCTCCCTCATTGCTAGTACATTTTTCATTAAAAATAATAACAACAAAAACTTAATATGCTCCCTAACCCCATCTAAGGAAATCTTCAGGAATTGCCTCATTATTTCTTTGTTTCCTTTATAGCCAAGCCTCTAAGGAGATATGTAAATGTGTTTGTTCTGTGAAAGGGCCATGTGTGCAAAGCAGTCCCCAAATGCCAAAGGAGCCCAGAAATCCAAGAAGGAGGCAGACAAATCCAGTTTGTCAGTATTGGGTGATTTATTAGGGGCGCTTACAGGCAGAAGCGTGGTCTTGGCAGCCTCAAGACAGGTAGATCTCCTCACTGTTCCTCCCAAACCCAAGGTATAAGGAAAGGGTCTTATGTGCTCCAGCAAAACAGTTAAAGGCAACCCTCCAAAACCAGCACGAATCCTGTGTGCGTCACAGCCTCTAATTTATGTGATAACATCAAGGTTGCTTTGATCTAAAAGTAGGAGTACATGTTCTTGCACTAGGGACAGAAAATAAAACAGAAACCAGGAGACATTCATGGGGCTAGGGCCAATCAGAAGTCAACCGGCAGATTAGCATCCACGATAGAGTCACTTTTGTCTCCACAGAACTTTCAGCCTCTATTGCTGCGTTGCTATTTAATTCTTATCTCATTGTCATCTAACTTTCCAACCCATGATGCCACAGAAACTCTCTGGCCAAAGTTCCTAAGAAATTCATCTGGCTAAAATCTAGGACATACTACTTTACAAACTAACTGTTTTTTCGTTTGTGTTCCAAACAGACAGAAAGCTCCTGAGGACAGAAAACATTTGTTTCTTATTCTTACTATGACCGAGCAGGTATTATAGTTCCCAGCCTAGAGTAGATACTCAATAGATATTTCATAAATTAAGATATTAACATTATCAATAGGTGAAAATAAAAGAATTACAACGTCCTCAATTCTATAGCATGTTGAGATATTATTTTCCAACCCCCCTGCTACAACACCAAATAAAAGTGCATCGAGTCAAGAAGGCATCAGAAACACACAGTGATATCTACCCTTTACCTATTTTAAATACAAATCATTACTTCCTACTTCTAGCAACTGTGACAGTACTCAACAACAACCAAAAAAGTTGTGTTTATGAATTCTCAACCACACTTTCAGTCTTATGAGCAGGATCTTTTAGTACAGTCTTACTTTCTTTGGCTCCGAGATTTTCTTCTGCTGAGCAGAAAGCATTGCCCCCCAGGACATAATTAGGACTGAAAGTATAATGCACAGCTGCACAGAGCCATGGAGTTTGTCAGCCGCACTGCATGTGTCCCTCCCTCTCCTTCCCTGCCAGACTCTGCCAGCTCTTAGCCATCTGTAGTGGTGCTGCAAGATTGGGTTAATAAACCCGAATTACTCTGAAAGTTTCGCATTAAAATATGAATATTTATCTTAGCCCAGGGAGCCAAGCTTTCCATGTAATATAAAAGGATTCTGAGATATAGGAAGAAAAGGCCTTCTTAATAGCCCATTCAATCTTTTCTAGAGGGTCACTGACTGTTTACTTTCTTCACCTAAGGTTGATCTGCTAAATTTTCTATGTAAACTTAAAAGTACTCTATAATGGTAATAGATATGCAGTAAATTCCAAACAAACAAACAAAACCCAAGCAAAAAAAGGAAATGGCCTGGTGAAAATCAGGAGAAAGTAGAAATCCAGCTTTTGATATCTACAAAATAATTTGAGAATTAAATGTTCTAATTAATTAATGGAGGAAACAAAACCTTAAATAAGATGTTTTTAAAAAATTTTAACACTAATATTTATTTAATTTATTACTTTGCAAAAGCATCATTTCTATTCTTAGGCTAAAATTGTCCTGCACACAATTTAGGTTGACATCTTTTTTTTTTTTGAGACAGAGTCTCACTCTGTCGCCCAGGCTGGAGTGCAGTGGTGCAATCTCGGCTCACTGCAACTTTTCCCTCCTGGGTTCAAGTGACTCTCCTGCCTCAGCCTCCCCAGTAGCTGGGATTACAGGTGCATATCACCATGCCTGGCTAACTTTTGCATTTTTAGTAGAGATGAGGTTTCACCATATTGGCCAGGCTGGTCTTGACTCCTGACCTCAAGTGATCCATCCACCTTGGTCTCCCAAAATGCTGGGATTACAGGTGTGAGCCACCACACCCAGCTTAGGCTGACATCTTAATTCAATTTGAATAAATCATTGATGAGATTGAATGAAAATACTAATCTCTGTAGATGTGTAATTTTTAGGTACCATGGTGTTTTATAGTTACTGTTGAACTTAGATATCACCATACACATACACACATCCTTATTTTATACATAGAGGTCTTAGTTTCAGAAAGACACATTTGTTCAATTGCTCATTTATTTATCCTGCTGGTAAGTGCCTTCTCTGTCATGAGTTCTGTGTTGGTGCCAATCTTCCAGAAGCAATAACACAAGTGCCCTGCCCTTGAGGAGAAGCTCACAGTCTGGTGTGGAAAATGCAAAGTTAGCCAAACAATTACATTTTAACATGCACATGGAAATATAAGTGTGTTTAAAATAATTTGATGGTATATTAAAACTAGTGATAAATTAGAAGATAAAGAGCATATGTTACAGGCAGAGAGTTGATGACTTGGTGCCCAATATTGACTTATCAACCTCCTTTCTGTTTATACATTTGTCCTGTAAATAATAAAATTTGTAGAACCTCCTCATACCCACTGCTTTTGACTGCAATCTCTGACTATGGCCAGGTTTCATGTTTATGAGTATTTGAAAGGAATTCTTCTATCCTAGGAAGCATGAATCAGAAATTCTTCTCGACTCTGAGACCACCTTGGGCCTTATGGAATCACAATGTCTAGTGATATTATTATTTCTGTGTCACTAAAGCAGAGACCAGAAACTGACAGCCTGTATGTGTGCTGTGTATGGCCCAAGTTTGCTCTTTGGTACTTTAAAATACCAAACTTAAATGTTTTGGAATATAGACTGCATTTCCAGTTTACCATGGTCTCCACTGCTTCCCACTGTTGACTATCAGTTGCTTCATTTGTGATATTTGCTTGTCCATATTGGCATTTTAATTTATGATCTTCAAATTAAACTGTGAAAGAGCCAATGCCATTTATCAGTCAAGGGGCACCAGTCAACAAAAGAAAAGAAAAAAGATATTACTAGTTTGTTTTGGGGTGGTCCTATTTAAGCCATTGCTTTCTCTCTGGTAGTTGACTTGCAACTGACGGAAAATAACTCATTAAACAGTTATATTGATAGGGGGTAAATGGGCACAAAATCATTTAATTTATGGTTCTTTGTAATTAAATCTTTTGGAAAACTGATGTCCCACTTTGTCGTGGTTGAAAAATAACAGGCAAACTCAATAATTTAAAATAAAGTTGCAAACTCAGAATTAAGAAAAAGTGTTCCTGTAAATTTTAATGAAAATACTTATCACAAAACTTAGGCACTTTAATTCCCAAGAGAGGCTTGAAGCCAGACTTTGTCATACTATGTTAGTTGTGTTAGCATCACAAACTTAGAGGCTTAATATAACACACACTTACTATCTCACTGTTACCAAGGGTCAGGAAACGAGGCACGGCTCAGCTGGGCTCTCTGCTTCAATGTCTCTCACAAGGCTATGGCTGGGGTCTCGTCTGAGACTCAGCTGGGGAGAGATCTGCTTCTAAGTTTGTAAGGCCATTGGCAATATTCAGTTCTTTGTGGGTTTTTGAGGACTTCGGTATATTGCTAGTTGTTGACTAGAGGCTGTCCTCAGTTCCTTGTTATTAAGCCTGTTCACATGGCAGCTTGCTTCACCGAAGCCAGGAAGAAAAATGGTCAATTGATTCTGCTAGCGTGATGGAAGTTACAATTTTATGAAACATAATCATGGGAGTGACATCCCATCACCTTTGCCATATTCTATAGATTAGACGCTTGTCAGTTCCATCCACACTTAGTGAAAGGGGATTATCCAAATGTGTGAATACCAGGAGGAAGGGTTAATTTAAACTCCTTTTACTGTTGTTAACCACCAATATATAGAGATGGTGGTGATGTGATGCCAGCTAACTTTCACTAGTCTCCTGTTCTCCTGTGTGTGCCTGATTTTCTTTTCTCTCTCTTTTTTTTTTATTATACTTTTAAGTTTTAGGGTACATGTGCACAATGTGCAGGTTAGTTACATATGTATACATGTGCCATGTTGGTGTGCTGCACCCATTAACTCGTCATTTAACATTAGCTATATCTCCTAATGCTATCCCTCCCCCCCTCCCCCACCCCACAACAGGCCTTGGTGTGTGATGTTCCCCTTGCTGTGTCCATGTGTTCTCATTGTTCAATTCCCACCTATGAGTGAGAACATGCGGTGTTTGGTTTTTTGTCCCTGTGATAGTTTGCTGAGAATGATGGTTTCCAGCTTCATGCATGTCCCTACAAAGGACATGATCTCATCATTTTTTATGGCTGCATAGTATTCCATGGTGTATATGTGCCACATTTTCTTAATCCAGTCTATCATTGTTGGACATTTGAGATCAGAGGAGAACTGAAGGAAAGAGAGACACAAAAAACCCTTCAAAAAATCAATGAATACAGGAGCTGGTTTTTTGAAAAATCAGCAAAATTGATAGACCACTAGCAAGACTAATAAAGAAGAGAGAAGAATCAAATAGATGCAATAAAAATTGATAAAGGGATATCACCACCGATCCCACAGAAATACAGACTACCATCAGAGAATACTATAAACACCTCTACACAAATAAACTAGAAAATCTAGAAGAAATGGAGAAATTCCTCAACACATAGACCCTCCCAAGACTAAACCAGGAAGAAGTTTTTTTTGTTTTTTGTTTTTTTTTGAGACAGAGTCTCACTCTGTCGCCCAGGCTGGAGTGCAGTGGCACAATCCGTCTTGGCTCACTGCAAGCCCCACCTCCCGGGTTCACGCCATTCTCCTGCCTCAGCCTCCTGAGTAGCTGGGACTACAAGCACCCACCACCACACCTGGCAGATTTTTTTGTATTTTTAGTAGAGACAGGGTTTCACTGTGTTAGCCAGGATGGTCTCAATCTCGGCCTCGTGATCTGCCCACCTCGGCCTCCCAAAGTGCTGGGATTACAGGCGTGAACGTGCCAGATTTTCATTTAGGCATTTTATATGTACCGATTCACTTGTTCCTTCACACTCCACCCCCAAAAAATACAATGCATATATTATTATCATTATCAAAAAAAAAAAGCAGCGAGAAAACAGGAAAGCATACTGTTAATATCTTACCCAAAGTCACAGTTAGAAACTTGTGGAACTGGAATTCTAACCCAAGCAGTCCGAAATTATACCCTAAGCTATTTTATTAATAACCTTTTAAAATTTAAGTACTACATACATAGAGGAAAATATACAAACTATATTGGTTTAGCTTAATGAATTATCATAAGTTAAACACACCCATATAACCACCACCCAGGTGAGAAGATGGAGGATTACCAACACTCAATGAACTTCTCTCCAGTCCTTTTCCCAATCACTACCTCTACTCTTCACCTTAAAGGTAACCTGTATCTTGACTTCCAGCTAGTTTTATCTGTTTTTGAATTTTATGTATTAATACACATATACATATAATAAATACTGTTTTATTTCTGCTTCCTTCATTCAACAATGTTAGGTTACTCTATGTTGAATGCAACATCAGTTCATTCATTTTTATGGTGTCTAAAACTGTATTCTACCCATGATCTATAATTTATTACCCATCCCACTGTTAGCAGATACTTGTTTTCATTTTTAAATTATTACAAATTATGATTTTATGACTACCTATATACATGTGTTTTGGTTGATGTATGTACATGATTCTATTTGGTATGTACAAATATGTAGAAGTAGTGTAGGAAATTGTATTGGATACAAAAATGGATTTCAAAATAGGTAGTATCCATTGCAGTAAATAACACCAGTGGCATATAATAGATCCTCAGTAGAACTCAGTATTGACAGTCATTCTCACCATACTCATTTTAAGGAACGAGTAATGGTATCTTGTTGTTATATTTTGTATTTCCATGAAAAGGGTGGCTATCTATTCATAGATGTTATTGACCATCTTGATATACATTTGCAAGTAGGAGGTTCAAATATCTTAATTAAATATTTAGTCACTTCTTAGTAATATTTAGGAATTCTTTATGTATTTTCAACTTCACAGAATTATAGGTTGTTTTTTCATTTTATCAAAGATGTCTTTTAACAGATATCAATTTTGTATATCTAAATCATTAAAACTTTCTCACATGGCTAATGCTGTTTTTTAGTGACCTGTTAAGAAATTTGTCTACCTCAACATTCTGAAGATAGTATTTCCTTTATCTTTTAAAACTTTATTATTTTACTTCTCACATTACATTGTTAATCCCCCATACATGATATACCGAGGAACATGAATGCTGGGTCTTATTGTAGGAATATGTTTAATTTTGTCTGGAATTATTTTTCATCTGCCTTATTTTTCTTAGTGCTATTTTGCTGCTGCCAAATTATATTTTGTCTGCAAACATCTTTCATTGACTTTAATTTTTAATGTAATAGTAGCCAAAAAATTTCCAAAACAGACTAAAGCTCTTCATCTACAGATAGAAGAAACACTAGAAACCTGAGTATACTAAATACAAATGAAAACACACCTGGATATCAAAATAGAATTGCTGATAACCAAAGAAAAATAGTGCTTCAGGCTTATTCTCTCACTTTTCTCTTTATGATATTCGAATTAAATGTGTATTAGGTCTTTCATTATTTCCTTTATGTATATCTAATGATACATATATATCTTCCTATCCTTTAGTCTGAACATTTTGTTCTGACATATTTACCAGTTCCTAAATTCCTTTTTAAATATGAATTAACTTATCTTGAAACCAATACCTGATGATTCCAGTGGCTTGATATCCTGCATATTTATTATGTTTACTTTTTTTTTTGGTGTAATGTTTCCTTTCTGTATACCTGATTAATTTTGCTTGTGTGCTTGATATTGTGAATGAAATTTTTTAGAAAAATTGAAGGCTTTAAATATCTTTTTCGTTCAGTGAGCATTTACATTTTCTTCTAGGAGGAAGCCTGTTTTGGGACAATCACCTTATTTTATTCATGAGTGAAGTCATTCAAAGACAAATTATTTTTGAAGGATGCTCTCATTCTGTCTTTTTGGTGAGCCCTAAACTTTAATTTTTGACCTTCCTTGCCCTTGAGGCTGCTGAAAGTTATACTCCACTTTTTAGTCTTTCTGTTTTTTCTTTCAATTTTGAAATTGGGAACCACCTTAAGCAGCTATTATAATCACGAATACTCAACTTACCTATTTAGCTTCTGTTTTTAAGCAATTCTCACCCTATAAATTCTTATATCCTTGTCAGTGCTCTAATTCCTAAAACCAGATAGAGGGAAGAAGGGTCACTTACGTTTTATTCAGCTTTCTAGTTCACATTAGAAAGTTTTAGGTAAAACAATGAAGTCAGCCATTCCAGGGAGCTGACCTCCAAAGCCTATGTTTTTAACCAAATAAAGTAAATATTCTTGTCTTAGAATTATCAGTAAACTGATATATAAAGTATGAAGCTCAGTTTTTTATTTTGCACATAAACATGAGAAATGGACTAGATATGAATTTGAAGTTTGTAATACTGATAAAAGAAAACAAATGTATTGACAAGGTTGTGGTTGGAGAATAAGTAATTTAATCAACATTTAGCATGGTATCCAACAAGTATATACATACACACATATGCACAAACACACATTATAATATTTAACCTAATGTAAATTCTATAAGGTTAGAAATTGTCATCCTTCTTTCACAAATGAGGAAACTGAGATTCAGACAGAATAAATAATGTGAATCACAAATTAACCTACTTCTTTTCGATGACTATATATGTGTTATATACGTATACACACAGATATTACATATATTCTAATTTATCACTGTGCATTGATTTTATTCTGACACAAATACATTGAGATATATACTTTAGAAAGTTTTTTCTTTCATAATATGTCTTTTTGAGTTTCTTAAGATTTAATTCTTAAGATGTTGCCCATCCTTTTCTTGAACATTTGCTTACATATGATAGCTAAATTTTAATAATCCAAGAAGCTAAATAAAATATCCTTAATGACTTTTTTTTTTTTTTTTGAGACAGAGTCTCCCTCTGTCACCTAGGCTGGAATGCAGTGGTGCAATCATAGCTCAATGAGCCTCCAATGCCTAAGCTCAAGGGATCTTCCCACATTGGTCTCCCAAAGTGCTAGTATTACAGGCATGAGCCACTGTGCCTGGCCATATTTTCAAATGTGATATAAATCACACTTGCCTTGGAGATATTTCAAAAAATATACAATCAACTGGTGATGTAATTCTGCAATTTACACTTAATAAGTTACCATAATCAGATCTAATTTTTCACGGAGGCAGAATATCTAGTGAATTTTAAGCATTGGTGGCTCATGAACAGGTAAGTTAGCTTTGCCAAGTCCAAATCATTATCAATATGTAAGAAGTATTACCTACTGTTTAAGAATTCAGAGAGTGCCAGATTTTTGAATTCTTTATCTGGGTTTAACATATTTGTCTGTTGTGAGCCTTATTCTCTTTTCGGATATAGAAAAGCATAGCTGAAATATTAACAGTACATGGCCCACTCTGTTTCTCCTTATCCTTTTTGCTCATTACAACCATAGGATGTCCCTTAAAACAGAGCCAACTTCAGTAAAACAACAAATAATAATACCTTGATATGGCACTTTGTGAAGTGCACCTCTGGAGATTTTTATGTAATCCTCAAGAATGTTATGAAACATAGGTATTAGTATTCTAGTTTTAAATCTGAAAAAAAATGGAGCTCAGAGAGGTTTAACATGTGTCTAAGGTTTTACAATTTGTAAACCGTTGGGTGAAGATTCATGCATGTTTGGGCAGTAAACAGAAAATAAAGAGCGTGGTATACAATTTATTGGACTTAGATAATAAAAACAAAGTGTTAATTCAGTGTATCCAGGTGAACATTAAAAAAGTAAAAAAAAATACTTTGGAAAATCAGGGAAAGTAACATTGAGGGAACTGAGAAATGATTATATTTTTGTAAGTAGAGAGTCAGATAAGACAAAAGGACATTTGGAGCCTGTCTGGTTGCCAAGGCCTTTCTATAGCTTCAGCTCATGTAGAAGCCTGATCAGCAAAACTCAGAAAACTTAACAGCTTGAAAATATTTCAGAGTGAGTAGATAATACTCCCTACCTTTTTTTTTGTTTGATTCATTAATTCATTCAATAAATATTTATTCAAAGCCTATGTTGTTTCAGGCACTATTCTAGATGATGAGGATACAGCAATGATCAAAACTGACAAAAATCACTGCTTTTAGGGAGCTTACATCCTAATGGGAGAAAAAGGATAAGCCATAGAGTAATTACATCATATATTACATGAGAAGTTCTTACGTACTATGAGGGCAAAAGTAAACCAGGCAAATGGGGATGGGGTGATGCAGCTTTAATAATAGCTAAATCAGACGGCAGTGAGAAGGTTAACTCGTGAAAGGGGTGAGGTCTGAGCCTGGTGGATATCTGATGAAGAACATTTCAAGCTGACTGCAATTCCCCTGAGGTAGAAGGATGCCTGTTGTGTTCAAGAAGTAGCAAGAAGGTCAAAGTGGCTAAAACAAAGAGAAGGAGGGGAAAGAAGAGCATATGAGCCTGGGGAAGTCACTGAGCAGCCAGTGATCCCCTCCGGCCTCCCCATTTAACAAGTGAAAGGTTAACCATTGGCAGCTTCTGAGAAAATGAGTAGCATGATTTTACCTGTAACCAACCTAACAGCAAGGAAACTGGTTGCTGTTTTGAGAACTTACTTATTAGAGAAGTAAGGACGGAAAAAAAAATCAGTTAGAAAGCTTTGGCAATGATTCTTACTGTGGCTTAGATGAAATGGTTGCAGTAAAGTTTATAAGTGGCCAGATGCTAGGTATCTTTATGATGGTAGAGAAATAAGATGAATTTCTGGACTTTTATCTCTTAAAACATTGACATTCTATTCTTCATTGAAGTATTTTATACACATATTTGTTAAAGGTGGTTGCATATTTTGTCTTAATTTCTGTGTCAAATAGTGATATCGTGAGTAATCCGTGAAGAACTTGTTAGGTACACATTGGAAGTTATTCAAAGCTAAGTGGAGGGCTTGTTGAGAGAGATTTCTCAGCATCCAGTATGACATGAACAAAGGGCATCAAGATATTGGTGTATGGTAATTCTATCTATTTTTTGATGATTATCAGTGATAAAGGGGATAATCACTGCAACCTCAAACTCCTGCACTTCACAAACTGCCATATCAAGGTATTATTATTATTTGTTGTTTTACTGAAGTTGGCTCTGTTTTGAGGGACATCCTATGGTTGTAATGAGCAAAAAGGATAAGGAGAAACAGAGAGGGCCACGTACTGTTAATATTTCAGCTATGCTTTTCTATATCCGAAAAGAGAATAAGGCTTACAACAGACAAACCAATTTTGATGATTATCAGTGGAAAAGGCGGCACAGGAGAGTACTCAGTAGATGACATGGGTTATGGATTATGATGCTGAAACTTCTTATGCCTCCTTGCAAATTGTTCATTAATATTATGTCAGTGTCATAATTCTTAAGTGTCATTTCATTACTTCACTCAGAATGACTATAAACACTACTACTGTAAAAGATAAATTTAGTTACACTTTGCAGATGTCAGTTCCATGGAACTAGTAAATAACAATAATAAAAATGTTATGATTGTGCTCTCTTTCTAAAGGAGTTTCCCCTCCATTTTGTACATTGGGGAAAAAATTCAAATGAGAGAGTCTTACAATAAACCTTCATTTACCTTCTTTCCAGAATATCATGAAAGGAGAGTGGAAACGCCAGTGAGTCCTTGTCACTCTTCTGCATGTGAGGGGTTTGTGGCCGATTCCAAATCAATTTTTCTTTTTCTTAGTTGCTAACTTGGAAGCAGAAGTTTCTAAAGTTTACATGGGTTTTAGGGATTATTTAAGTTACTTAACCTCTCTGACCCTAAGTCTTTGCCTCTGTAATGTGATAAATAAATAGCTCAGAGTTGTGAGGGTAAAATGAGATATTGTCTGCAGTGAGAGTGAGAGGTATTTATTGCACATACTCAGTTTGGACATAATTGGCTTACACTACTGTCTACTGCAGAAAAATTGGAGGCTGAGAGAAATGATATACACAAGATTTCATACTTAGGAATACAACTTATTTTCTTACTTCCAGACTGGTCCTCTGTAACAGGAGACTGTGATGGTTAGTTTTACATGTCAACCTGGCTGGGGCATAGTGTGACCAGAAATTTGGTCAAACATTATTCTGGATGTGTTTGTGTGGGTATTTCTGGATATGATTTACATTTAAATTGGTAGACTGAGTAAAGCAGATGTCCTCCATAAGGTGGGTGGTCTCCATACATTCAATTGAAGGCCAGAATAAAACAAAAAGGCTCATCCTGCTGTGAGTATGAAAGAACTCCTTTTTTCTGTCTACCTGCAAACTGGGACATTATTTTCTTCCTGACTTTGTGCTTGAACTGAAACATCAGCTCTTCCTGGGTTTTGAGCTTACAAGCATTGAACTGGAACTATACAATTGGCTCTCCTGATCTCAGATTTTCAAAACTGGAACTATATCGTCAGCTGCCCTGGGTCTCCAGCTTGTTGACTGAAGATCTTGGGACTTGTTAGTCTCTGTAATTATGTGAGCCAATTCCTTATGAGAAATAACATATGCACACACCCTGTGGGTTCTGTTTCTGTCAACAACAGGTCTCTAATACAGAGACCTATGCTCGTAACACAGAAAATGCAAGTTTTACCCTTGACCTGAAAAAAATTTAAAAATATACTCTTATTATATATGCATGTCAAGTGTTTGAAAGTGTGGCTAATTGGGCCAGATGCAGTGGATGTTGCCTGTAATCTCAGTACTTTGGGAGTCTGAGGCAGGAGGATTGCTTGAGCTGGGAGTTTGAGACCAGCCTGGGGAAACATAGGGAGACCTCATCTCTACAAAACATACAAAAAATTAGCTGGGCATAGTGGCATGTTTCTGTGGTCCCAGCTATTCAGGAGGCTAAGGCAGGAGGTTGTCTTGAGCCCAGGAGTTTGAGGTTGCAGTGAGCGCTATTCCTGCTACCACACTCCAGCCTGGGTGACAAAGCAAAACCTTGTCTCCAAAAGAAAAAACGAAAGTGTGGATAATCTATTGTATGATATTAGGATTCTGGCTTACCTGGAACATGTTAGAAGAAAAGTGATTGTAAAGAGCAGAAGCAACTTAATTCTGTGAAAAAGAAAAAAAAATAGACACAGAAAAACCTGAAATCCAATTTTACTGTTTTGCTAATCATTATACTGGTGATGTACCACAGCTAAGTCCAAGTGGTTGGCAAAATAAGGAGCAGAGGCATATAGAAGAGGAAGGGCCATGAGGAAATCAAATGACTGAAATTAACAAAGCCACAACTAAGACCTATGTTGTCCTGAGGTATACCTTTGACACCTGGTAGCCACCATGGAACAGCAGATTGCAACTTGAAGACGTCAACACCCATAGTTTCAGGGCATAACTGAGTGGCTCCCGGGAGACTGAGTGACACATCCTGAGACCCTAAAAGGGAATAGAAGGACATATCCTGAGCAAGAGGAAGAAGACTTATTCCTATTGATTTCTCTCATGGACACTAAAAATACATGGGTTTCTTTTATTTTCAGTATGGAAAACAAACATACTTTATGCACAAAACTGTAGGAAACACAGACTACTAACTAATTCAAAATAAAATGTCTTCTTTTCTGGGAATGAATAGCTTGGTTATACTGATAGCTCATAATGCCATTTGGAATCTGAATAGGAATAATCACATTAGAAGGACTGTCTCCAAAGTCGATGATTTAATGTTACAACTTTGCTGTTGCAGTAACATACAGAGATCAGAGCAGTTCAAAGATTTGATTATCATTTTCCAAAGACAACAGATTTTAGAAAGACAATTCAGCCTTTAAAATATTAACTTAGTCTAAATATTGAGTCTATTCTTGGCCCCGAGGCAATATTAGCAACTCATTCTTTCTTCCTAAAGCTACTTGCAAAACCGAAATCAACCTACTGTACCATATAACTAATGTTTATGGTTTCTTTTGAATAAACATGAAAACTGACTCCTCCTGTCTTAAAACTTAAGAAAGTTACATTTGTCTTATCTGAGTTTCTTTTTTTAGGAAACCAACCATCAGGCATCCATCAGATAGTATCAAGGAGCTGAAACTCACCAGGTTACTATATTAGGACAATGAGATGTCAGATCCCTTACCTGTCATGATTTCCTAACTGACCACCTGCTTCCTATTTCAATTCCTTTTCCTAATTTCTGTTTTCCCACACATGGTTACATTTCTTCCCTGCTATATACATTCCTAATTTTAGTTGGTCAGAGAGTTGGATTTGAGACTGATCTCCCAGCACCTGATTAAAGCCTTTTTCCCTGGCAATACTTGTTGTCTCAGTGGTTGGCTTTCTTTGTGGCAAGCAGCAGGACCTAAGCTGAACCTGTGATGTTTTGGTAACAAAACTATCATGAGTTGGGGTAGAACCTCTTCAGTTGGATATTACACATGCACAAATGGGTCTGTGTTCTCACAACACATCCAGATGTTATTGCTGCCCAATAACAAGGAAGAGCACAGTTTGTCAGAGAAGACATCTTTTAAATTTCCTATTGACACACTAACCATTGAATCAATCTGCCTGACTCCCTGGAATAGCGTTTTGATCATATTCCAACCCTCTCCCTCCTTTAGGGAACAAAGTTCTTCTCTCCAGAGTTCCCATATTGTACCATACTGACTTGTTGGATTCTGTTTAAAGAGGTTCTATTTGGCTTTGCAAGCCAGCTTTTGAGGTGCTGTATGTTTAGGACCATGGTGAGTACATGGTGAGACCATAATAAACGATCAGGAAAAGATTGTATGCAATACCTATCTTTCAACAAGGCCACATTTACTTATAGGTAGCCAAAGGGAAGAACAATAAGTAAGGTAAGATGGATTGCCAAAAGAAGTTGGAAAAAAAGAGAATGGAGGGAGAGGGGAGTCCTAAATCAACTAATTTGCTGAAGGGATAGATTTTTATTCTCAGGTAATAGGGACCCTGGCCACAGACTAAGAAACAAAAAAACATTTTTTCTAATTTTAATTTTTTTATTAACAGGCACAGGGAATTTCCTACTGAGAAAGGAAAATGGAGAACAATAAAATAAAGTAACTGAGAGAGCTGGTTAAAGAAACCCTGAAAATAATAGTTTTAAGTTTCCAATTGTTGTTTCAACCTAGTTTGGGAATATAAAATAAGAGTTATCTAAAGGTTAGGAAAATGATTTTTATTATTTCATCTTTTAGTCAAATAGTATTTTTGAATGAAATAGAGAACATACACTAAATAAAGTAGGAAAAAGTATCTTATGTATTGCAGCTTATATGAAAGAATCAAGATAATACATATATAGTATGTAGCTAAATGCTTGATTATTACAGAAAGGATTATAATCTGAATTATACATTTTATTCTGTGAGAAAAGGCTTCTATTAACACACAGTCTGGATAGATTTTTGGATATGCATACATATTACAGATTGGTGATTTTGTGAAAAATAACTATAGGTGCATTATCTAAGAATTAAATATGTACCTCAGTGAATGGGAACAAAGAGACATTAAAATTAATTATAGGTTATTCTGACTTTTATCTAAAAGTGGATTAATATAAATCAGGAGAGATGAGGATACTAAGACTTATGTAGTATCCACTCTGTATCATGTGTTTCTCATCGTTTTAATCCACACATTATCTGATATAGTAGGCACCATTATCCACATTTTGAAATGCGATTAAAATCCACAGATGAAATCCACAGTATTAGTTGTAAAGCAAATATTTGGACTCAAGACTCAAGTCAAGCCACAATAATTCCTCAGAAATGGATAAAGGAGATAAGACAAAGGAATGAGTTAGAGATTATTAGGATCAGAGAGGATTTCAGGGAAAACACAGGTTGGATTAGTCTGTTCTTATGCTGCTTATAAAGAACTGCCCAAGACTGGATAGTTTATAAAGGAAAGAGGTTTAATTGACTCATGGTTCTGCAGGGCTGGGGAGGCCTCAAGAAACTTACAATTATGGAGGAAAGGGAAGCAAACACATCCTTCTACACATGGCAGCAGGAAGGATAAGTGCCAAGCAAAAAGGGAAAAAGCCCCTTATAAAGTCATCAGATATCATGAGAACTCACTCACTATTATGAGAACAGCCATGGAGCCCCCAGGATTCAATCATCTCCCACTGGGTTTCTCCAATGACATGTGGGGATTATGGGAACAACAATTCAAGAGAGATTTGGGTGGGGACACAGTCAAACCATATCACAGGTCATTTTTGGTTTGTGAACAGTTGTTTGAGAGCAACTCAAGCCAGAGCTTATATCTGACCAAGACGGCAAACACCAGAAGGCCAGTGGCGGGAAAACAGTTCTATATCCTCCATGACTGGAGGAACTGAATGTATAAAGAGGATGGAATTGCAATAGACATATTTTTCAGCAGGTGGGGAAGAATAGCAACTGGACTGAAGTTTATACAAATATAAATCTTTATATAAAACTTATCAGAAGTTTGATGGGCTAAATAATGGCCCAACAAATAGGTCCATGCCCTAATCCTCAGCATCAGTAAATATACTGCCTTAAATGTCAAAAGGAACTTTTGTAGATGTAATTAAATTAGTGATCTTGAGATGGGGAGATTATCCTGAATTGTCTGGGTTGGTCTAATGTATTCAGAAGTGTCCTTTAAAGAGGGAGGCAGTAGAATTAGATTCAGCAAACATATATGATGGCAGAGCAGATGTTGGACTGATGCATTTTGAAGATGGACTAAGTGGCCTCTAGATGAGGAAGGCTGGCAGCCCCCGAAGCTGTAAATAGCAAGGAAATGGATTTTCTCCCAAAGTCTCAGAAGGCAAAGCCCTGCTGGCATCTAACTTTAGCCCATTGAGACTGATTTTAAACTTTTAACCACCAGAACTGTAAGGTGATATGTTAGATCGTCTTCAGCCAGGACGTTTGTGGTAATTTGTTACGGCAGCAATAGGAAACTAAAACAAAAAGTATGAGAAACATCAAATTAATTTTTATGCTCCATGTAATTGTTTAGAATTCCCCTGTTCCTAGATGCCTTCTTACAGATTTTATTATTTCCTTATTTGTCTCAAGAAATTGTTGGGAATTAATTTCCTTTTGTATATGAGAGGTAGGACAGGTAAGAAAAAAAAGTTAAAACAATAGCAGAAAAATCTCTGTTCTTAAACCAATAGGAACAAAATAGGAAACTAACAGTTTTGCAATAGTCTGCAGCCTCTTTTTGGCATTTAGATACTTAAGTACTTTTTCTTTCCCCTCGCATTTGTAATTTCATTTGGGTTGTACAGGACAAAACCTCGCAATTTTTATCTTAATTATAGTACTAGAATGAACTATATCACTGTCAGCGCCAGGGTACATGGTATTCTGACTTAATCCATTTGTGCTTGATTATGATATCATGTATATTCTGCTTGTTCTGCAATGTCCCACTAATTCTCATACCTTTGGGACCTACTTTTCATTCATATTTTCATTCATTCGCTCAAGAAATATTTATTCCATTCTATATGTAAGACATTATGCTAAGAACTGGGATAGATTTGTAAATAGAAAGAACATTATCCTCCCCTTTTATTCCTCCTCAAACTACTCCAGACTACAGTGATCTCATCTACTTATATTTATTCATATCTACTCATATTTACTTATGTCTGCTCCATCATGTTGAAGCACTTAATATAATTTAATGAATATTAGCATGCTTCTCCATCTTAGTTATATATTCATCCAACTTACCTTCTGTTAAAGTGCAGTTATTTTGTTTTCCATAGTATGAAACACATGATAGACACTAAGTAATTTCTTGTTGACTAGTAGGTATATGAATCACCAAGATTTATAGAGTCATTATATCTTGCACTAAGGTATTTGAGTAGGTCTTGAGGGTAAGTAAAAATTGTTCAGGTGGTAAGGGAGAAGGATGAGCTTCAAGTGGAGAGAAAGATATGGGTGTTTGAATAAAAAAGAAAAATGTGTGAGGTATATCTAAAAAGAATGAGTATTTTTGTGTGGTAGAAGCATTTTACATAGCACATCATGAGGCCAAAGAGCCATGCTGGGGTTATATTGAGAAGAACTTTTAGTGTCATAAGGTGTGTGAACACAAATTTCTAAATTTTAAAGATTTTATTAATCATTTGTTTGTTTTTTATTGTGGTAAAAACACATAGCATAAAATTTACCACCTTAACTATATTTAAAGTTCAGTAGTGTTAGGTATATTCACATTGTTGTAAAATAGATCTGCAGAACCTTTTCATCTTGCAAAACTGAAACTCCACGTTTTAAGTATAAGGGGATCTATAGAATGAAAAGGTTTGAAATAGATTATTAGAACCCCCCATTTTTGTTAATAAAAGATAACTTTAGCATCAATACAATTACCTGACAAAGGGATGAAGGAAATTCAAAAGCCAATTAGCAGCATGATATAATATACTGTTGAAACCAGAGAAGCCTAGATTTAAATTTTGGCTCCAGACTTAATTCCTGTCTTAAGTAAATTTTTAACTATGACATTTTTTCCTTAAGGTTCAAGAATGGGATTTGCTTGTTGATACTCACTTTGATGTGTGTGTGTGTGTGTGTGTGTGTGTGTGTGTGTGTGTTTAATCACTGACCATTGTTTTTCTATCTAGGTATTTCTTCTAAAGACTTATAGCAAAACTATTTGAAGGCGAATTGGCTAATAGTAGATTAAATATCTTTAATTTTCTCCATGATTTATATTAATCTATGTCTCCACATTTCCTGAATTCCTAAATGTTAAAATAAATTCTTGAAAGTTTTTCTTAACTGCTAGAACATGACTATTTAATCCACTTTATGTTCCAAAAAATAATTTAATCTTCACTTTCACAATTAGGGTTTTGAGACTAATATTCTGTGGCAGCTGTTCTCAACCATGACTGCAGATTAAAGTAACCAGAAAGCTTTTGAGAATATAATGCAGGGCCTTACCACAGAAAAATTAAATCACAATCTTCTTGGGTGAGCTTGAGCAGCTACGTAGTTTTTAAAAATTTCCCCAAGTGATTCTAATATAAAGTGAGGGCTGAGAATCACCATGCTACAGTGTGGTATTTTCCAGTGCACTTGTTTTCAATTGAAACCAAGTTGTTCCTTGAGTACGGCTTTCTGTATTTCATCCTGACTTTTTATAAGTATAGTTACTTGGGGAAAAAAATTTGGATGCCCTGTTCTCTGTTGTCATTTTAACATAAATATTTTGTTTTCAAAATTTATCTTATTACAGCCATTAAGTATCTTGATATTTATATAAGTTATGTAATACAGGAAAAGAATCAATGCTTTATAAGCTCCTGCATGCTAGTAGAAATCTTGATTATATTTAATATCTTAATCAATGAGTTTTCACAAAATTTCAGGAGTGTCAAAACCAATCAATGTGTTGGAGGAGAATCTTTTCTTTTGCACATAATTCCCATCATCCTCTTCCACTGAAAACCACTAAAATGTAAACTATAAACTTGGGAGATACCTTTGGTAGGTAATTACTTTTGGGAGGTAATTAGGTCGTAAGTGTAGAGTCCTCATAAATGGGATTAGTTCTCTATAAGAAGAGATGTGAGAGCTTGCCTCTTCTCTCTGTTCTCTGCCATGTAAAGATACAATGAGAAGATGACTATCTGAAAACCAGAAAGAATCCCCTCATGAGACCACAAGACACTGGATTTGCCAGTGCCTTGGCCTTAGACTTCCCAGCCTCTAGAACTCTGAAAAATAAGTGTTTGTGGTTTAAACGACCAAGTCTATGGTATCGTGCTATTATGGCATCCCAAACTGACTAAGACACCTTATACGATGACGGTAGGCTTTATCCAATCAGTTGAAAGCTTGAATAGGACAAAAAGATAAGCCTTCCAGGAGCAACAAAACATTCTCCAGCAGACTACCTTTGGGCTTCATCAGTAACAGCAACCTTCCCTGGTTCTACAGCAGAAAGCCTTTAGATTTAAACTGGGATATGAGCGCTCTGGTTCTCCAGACTACTGTCCTACCGTGCAAATTTTAGAATTGCCAGCCTTCGTAATCACATAAGCCAATTCTTACAACAAATCTCTTTACACACGCACACACACACACACACACCCTATTGGTTCTGTTTCTCTGGAGAATTCTAATATACACTTCAAGAAATGTCTCTTATCCCAGCTTTTCAAAGGAATTTCGTTCCCAAGTCACCTGCTATATAGAAATAGACTTTTGATAATCCTAACTTAATTTAACTTTTCTACTTTGGAAATAATATGTCTTGGAGCTGGTCCATGACCCTATATATTATAGGTATTTGGGATGATTTATTCCAGATGGTCCTTAAAAGTAATTTACAAAAAGTCTTTTATTGTTCTTTCCAGTAGAGGAGACCTGGTACTTCCTACTTTGAATTAATGAGATAAAAGGCCATATTTGCTGTTTCAAGTTTCCCCTGTATTCCCCTGTTTCTTTTGAACATTATGACCAACCAGAAAGATACAGAAAAGTACTGCAGTCTAATGACACAGTCTGCATAAAACCTCTATGCCTTTTTTTCCTGCTTGATAAACTGTGAATTATAGCTCTGTATCCTTTCAAGCCAGAAGTTTCCTTTAACTTTTTGTAGCCTTTTTACAGGAAATCTGCTATTTTTCTCAAAACATATTTTTCACTTTGATACAAAACATAGAACCATTCTTAAACCTGGATGTATTCATCTGACAAAATTTTACTGACTATAAATTATTCTATTCCCTTGTGCTAGGCATCAGAGACTAGGAATGATTAAAATATTATTTAACACAAAAGTTTGAGTAAAAAGAATAGAAGGTGTCCGAAGGCAATGATTAGTATAGTAACTAAGAAATATAGACATATGGGGTAAAGAAAAATTGCAGGAAATTAATAGAGCTATTGAGATTTAAGCTGGTCCCTAATAAATGTGTGCTGTATATATCAGGCAAATTTTTTATGTCAAACTCAGTGGATGCCAAAGATCGCTTACAAAAGGAAAATACTGGATGGTCTCCTAACATCAATAATTTTGTTTTATAGCCCTGTGATTTATTTCACTGGAGGGATAAGCTATTTTCCTTTTGTTACATGCATGTAAGATCCTGGGGTCAATTCTGACCTTACATTATACATCTCATGCATATATGCAGCCACAGGTACTCTGAGAATATTACTTATCTTCTACAGAACATACAAACTAAATGTTATGCTTGCCCCTTCAGCGAAAGAAACACAAACCATGGAAGTATGTAGAGTTATATATTCTATATGGTGATATATGGTTGATGGAGCATCTAGGGTCTAATTGCATAACTTTCCTGGATACCTATGAAACATCGATTATGCTATGCAAGTATTTCTCTCAGGAATTTTATTATTATTATTATTATTATTATTATTATTATTATTATTATTATTTATTTTTTTGAGAGGGAGACTTGCTCTGTAGCCCAGGCTGGAGTGCAGTGGCGCGATCTCAGCTCACTGCAAGATCCGCCTCCCGTGTTCACGCCATTCTCCTGCCTCAGCCTCCCGAGTAGGTGGGACTACAGGCGCCTGCCACCACGCCCGGCTAATTTTTTGTATTTTTTTTAGTAGAGACGGGGTTTCACCGTGTTAGCCAGGATGGTCTCGATCTCCTGACCTCGTGATCCACCCACCTTGGCCTCCCAAAGTGCTGGGATTATAGGCGTAAGCCACCGCGCCGAGCCTGTCTCAGGAATGTTAATATAAATAGAAACATATTATAAAGCAAGCTTGCTTTGAATATAAAATCTCTTCAGTTCTGGCTAATAAAGATGTATGTTGATTGTCTATTTGGAATGCTGCTATGGTAATATTCAGTAAAAATAATAATTTTGTAGTTTTAGATTCCTGTATTAAAATATTGAAAAAAATATTACAAGTTATGGTATTTAAATAGATTATGTAATATAGGACAAAATATAATGGATTACGAGCTCTTAATGTACAATATTAGAATAAAATAATTCATACTTGCAACAAGAGCTGTAATAGTCTCTTCTATGCCTCCTAGAATTTCCCTGCCAATGTATCATTATGAAATACCTTCACTTTGTAGATAATGATGAGGAAAATCACCAGGATTGGAATAAAATGACTTCTAAGCCCCAATAAATTATATATGTGGTTCAGATTCCATATTAATTTCTTACTCCTCTCCTCCTGTTGCAGTGGAGAAAGAGTGTCTCCTATCTAAGTTCAACCTTTTCATGAAGGCACTCGATAGGCATTCAGTAAGTGTTAGATGAATACATGAATCATTATGAAAATGAATAAATGCATTTTATCTTTCATTAACAAGACACTTAAACTATCAACTTCCTTAATTCTCTTATAGATCTTCCCCTATTTCTCCTGGTTCCTTCCATTAGCATATAAATTTGTTAATTTGTTTAGTCTTGGAGAGAGACAGAGAGAGCACAAGCCTTTTGCCATTTAACCCTCTATTTGGAGCTCTCTTTTCTATCAAAACAAAAATCCCCACATTTTCTGACTCACTACTTTCCTATCCTTTCATTTGAATCACTTCCCAAATGACATCAATATGATTTCTGCCCTCATCACTCCTCTAAAGGCATTTTTCCAAAGCTCACCAATGATCACCATATAGCAAAATTAAAGGACCCTTCCCATTGGTCAATATACAATGATGACTCTGCAATATTTGGCACTAATGATCCACTAAGAAATACCTACTTTGTTCTGTGATATACTGCATTCTACTCAATTCTTCATCTCTTTGGATGCCCCTTTACTCATGTTTTGTTTAATTAAAACCATTAAATATTGGAAATTCTCAGAACCCTGTCCTTGATTGTCCTTCCACTCAAACTTTACTCTTTCTTTAAGACAAAATTTTTAGCCTTGGTACTGTTGACACATTGACTATGATTGACTCACCAGACTATTATTTTATTTTATTTTATTTGTATCAATTAATTTATTTTCATTTCAATAGCTTTAGGGTTACAAGTGGTTTTTGGTTACATGGATGAATTGTACAGAAAATTATTTTTATGTGTTTGTGGGGTGTGTCCCTTATATTACAGGAAGTTTACCAAGCCTTATTCTTGGTCTCTATCCACTAAATGTCAGTAGCATACTCTTTCCCAGTTGTGATAATCAAAAGTATCTCCCACATCGCCAAATGTACCCTTAAAGGCAAAATTGCTTTCAGTGCAGAACAACTGTTCTAGGTGATCTATATCATTGTAGCCCATGTTTTTTGTCTGTTTGTTTGTTATGGTTCTTGTTTTTTAACCATTCTACAACCTGTATGCCACTGGTTTATATCCTCCTTTGGCTGCTATATTGAATTCCAAAGTCATTTATCAAACCGCCATCTCACTGTCTTACTAGTGGGCCTCATATAAAACTTACTATTCAAAAAGTCCCAAATTAAGGTAAATGTCCTCCCACCATCATACATGCCCCTCTTCCACTTTTGAACCTCAGCCCACCCAGGTACTTGTGCCAGAATCATTGGATTAAAGGACCTATCAAAAATCAACAACTATTTCCTTTTGATTATAATTCTAAAATCTTTTTCAAGTCCAACCAGTTCTATCTCTACTGTCACCAGTTTAATCCAAACCTCCATTTTATCCAGCATCCAGGACTGCAGTATCCCCTCAGACCTCCTCTGTGGTCTCCACGTTGAAGCCAAAACAATCTTTTTAAAAAAACATAATCATGTTATTCTCTTGCTTAAATCTACTCTTAATTTTCCCATAACCTTTCCATTAATGAACAGAAAGTATTTCAAAGCCTTGTAAAATCTGGTCCTTGGCAAAACCTCATTTCTCTTCACTGTCCATTTACCGTCTGCTTTAGCTTTATTGTCCATCTATCACTTTCTTAAATGTGCCACAGTTTTCCTTGACTTAGGGCTATTTCATAGAATGTCATTCTACTCCCACCTTTCATCTAACTAATGATCTCTAGGAAGTAATTGGTTCACTTGTGTGGCACACAGATTAATAGCTCCCAAATTATGTTTACGTCTTAATTTTTATAACTTGTGAATATTCTAGGTTTTATGGCAAAGGGGAATTAAGGTTACAGATAAAATTGAGGTTGCAAATCAGCTGAACTTGCATAAAGAGATTATCCTGGACTCTCCAGGTGGGCCTGATGTAATCACAAAGTTCCTTTAAAATAGAAGGAGGAAGAGGCAGGAGCTCACGGTGATGGTGAGAAGAGCTCAATTCAGCATTGCTGGCCTGTAAGATGGAAGAAGGCTGGGAGCCAATAAATTCGGGCAATCTTTAGAATATTAAAAAAACAGGAAAAGGGAATTATGTGTAGAACCCACAGAAGGAATGCAGACCTGTAAACATCTTCATTTTATCTCATTGAGACCCACGTGAGACTTCGATTTATGGAACAGTGAGATAATACATTTGTATTATTTAAGCCACTAAGTTTGTGGTGGTTTGTTACATCAGCAATAGGAAACTAATACAACCTGTTACTCACATCCATCACACTCTGTTTTTCTTCCTTACAGTCTTTTGTGTACTGTCAGTTTTATATTCAATGACACTCTGCCTCACGAGATTGTTTCCAGGTGATAACCATCTTGCTTTTCTCTATTGCTTTTTCTCAAAAAAGGAGGATTCAGAAAATATTCATGGAACAAGTGAAAGGATAATTTGGTTCAGAGTTTATTTTCATCACTTTATTGTATCACATGAATTTCTGCCCCCTGTATCTCGCTGACCTATGGAAAAAATACAGAGCTGGTGTCCTACCTTTTTTTCACAACTATTTTGAAATCAAATGAAATGAAGCATGAGGAATAACTTTAAAAACCTCAAAGCATAATATAAGTTTCCGTTATTTGCAGTATATAGCAAAGATAAGAATTAAATTAATATGTTTAATGAGCAGACACCAAATTTACACTTGCATTTAATTATACAAAATCAGTTAGTGCTTAGAAGTTTTAGGTAGCAAAAATTAACGCCAGGCATAATGAACCCACTTCTCTTTTGAAAACAGACTTCTAGACTGGGGTGGCAGTGTGGGACAAGAAAAGGACATAGCAGTATTAAAAAAAACATACTGGTAAAAGGGACGTGTCTAGGGAGCTAACACTATAAAAACTGTAGAAAACCCTAGACTTAGTGACAGGACACTTTTCTGTCTCAACACCCTCTAATTCCTTGCACGCCATGGGATATGTTAGTTGTTAAAAATGTTTTAAAAATAATGTTCAGACTCATAACGAATATCTTTATGCTTTTAAACATTATTTCTTTATGAAAAAACCTTAATGCTAGAATATTTTTCACTTATTAAAAAAAAATTCCGAGGCCACTGCCTTCATTTTATCTTGATGTGCTTTCTATTTCTTTCTCTTGCTTTATGATGATTAAAAAATGTATTTGCATGTTTGTTTTGTGTTTATCTCAATTTCTTTATCTTTGAATTCCATAGGTAGGGGACAATTTTTCACAAGCAATTTGTACTAAGTATGAACTAGGGCTGAGTTGGTGGCACTACAGATCTACCTCCCACTCACACTATTTTCAAATTCCAGAATACCCTTATTGTTTCATTCTTTTCCTCCATGTAAAACTTGCCCTTCCTTCCTGGGTCTCCCACTCCCTTTCCTTTCCTGTTCCTCAGAATACCAGGTCCATTCAATCTAATTCTTTGAGCACCTCAGGTGACCATTATCATTAGCACTTCAAGATCCAGCTTGATCTCTGTGCTCCCTGCTAGGTGATTTAGTGTCTAGAGTGAAGGGGTGTTCCAGCTTTTGAGGGAACGATGTCAAAGACCACCATATCAGGAAAAATAACCTGTGTTCAAAATTATCCCGGAAAATCCTTCAGGGAGATACCTGGGTAGAGAAGAACTACCACATCTCTAATGTAGTCACTAGAACAGGATAGTTGAACAGGACACAAATAATTATGCATGTAGCATACATTTGATGGTCTTGGAACACGTGAAAATATTTGTTTAAACAATAAAATGACAACCCATATGTCAAGATGATCACACCACAAGAGGAATGCAGCGAGCTGACAGTTGAAATTACATAATTTAAATGAGTATCTGATTCCAAAACAGTGTATGAGAACAAAGTGATTTCTTTAAAATAATTTATAATAAACACTAAGGTTTGAACGTCTAATGGTCCAAAATATTCAAAAGTTTATTTTATTTATTTCTTTTTAATTTTTAAGAAAGCAATTTGTTTACCTGAATGAGAAGACGGACTCAGCAGGTATTTTTGAGCCTGGGGCAATACAGAAACCTCTGGCAACTCTGAATCACTGAGGTTCCCCACATGCTCAGGAATTTATAAACACAAATGCACTAAGTGGTGGGTCAGAATAAACACAAATAGATTCAGCTTACATTTCTCCTGCTCTACTGCCCATATTACAGAAGGTGGCTGGTTCCCCAATTGTTTATCAAGTGCAGATTGGTAGGAATCTGATAGCGGGATAACACAAGCTGTGAAACTTTTCGTTAGGCAGCTACTTGAGTTTCCCCAAGTTTCAAACACACACACAGAGTATCCTTAACCACTGTCCCACAGGGCATGAAAGCCTTTGAGGAGAACCACAGAGCACCTAGTAATTTCATCTCTTTAGAGTTCTAGATGGGCCAAAAGTGCAGAGACCCTACAGCTGTGGCCACCTTCCCTGACATTTGCCAAAGCCACCACCTGGGGTAGCCTCGAAGCAGCTGCTATTTTTGCCTTCTCTTAAGTCACATTACAACTGATATGGTAATTTGGGGAAAAACTGAGATTCAGTAACTGTTTAATTAGACGGAATATTCCTAGTTTAATTCTATATTATAAATATTCTTTTCTGAACACTTCTTTTTTATATTTTTGTGTGAAGTTTTACTTCATTACCTTTATGGAGTAAAGATTTACCCTCTCACCTCACCCCCCGACCACATACACACGAAATGTTCATCAGGATGGGGTTTAAGCTGTCTTTCCGGAATCAGAAACAGCTGGAACTGTAGATGGTGTCATACTAGTTCTGAGGCTTCAGTTTCCACGGACAAGATACTTGGACAGGAAAAGGGAATCTCCAGGAAGGATTAAATTGAGACATTAAGAAACATATAGGAAAGATGAGATGTATTTTATTCTGTAACCTACTCATACAACCTTTCTCGTGAATAAGGCCTATTAAGCTGACTGAATTTTGGAAAGGCCCCATTCACACTTTTTTTTTTTATGACTTCTTTTCACAAAGAATAAATACCACAGAGAAACCAAGAGAATGCTGGCTTGGTTATTACCTTTAAAGGTCATTCTGAGTAGAGTACCATATTACTCAATGTTAATGTGACATTTCACCTTAATGCTCCAGGGAAATGTCAACCACAAACAATTAGGGTCAGGTTATACAGGGACTCTCTATTTTGTCTTTGCCACTTTTCTAACTATTCTACAATAAAAATATATTAAAGAATAAAAGTTTCAGGGACCAAAAAATGAAAAGTCATTCTCTCTCTACTTTTGGTAGGAGAATCTGGTGGTGGTGATGATAGCATAGGGAAGGTAGCAATGCTTACTTAAAATAATTGTTATCTTCAGGAACTTAATGCCAGATGGCAATGGGAATTAAAAGGAGATACTATAAAATTTCCATCCAAGTGAAGTTTTCTTTTTAAGATTTAAATTTTTCCAAATGCTATCCCTCCCCACTCCCCCCACCCCACAACAGGCCCCAGTGTGTGATGTTCCCCTTCCTGTGTCTTTGTGTTCTCATTGTTCAATTCCCACCTATGAGTGAGAACATGCGGTTTTTGGTTTTTCGTCCTTGCGATAGTTTGCTGAGAATGATGGTTTCCAGCTTCATCCATGTCTCTACAAAGGACATGAACTCATCTTTTTTTATGGCTGCATAGTACCCTAAAACTTAAAGTATAATTAAAAAATAGACTAGATGGAATATGGTGCCTGTTGAGTTTTAGAGACAAAAGGTAACACAGATAAATAAAAGGGAGCTTAATGCAAAAAAAAAATTAAATTTTTAAAAAAATGTTGGAGGCTTTCAAAATTAGTCTTTCTCTATGTCAGTATGATTATCTATCTATTTACCCTTCTTTCATTGTAGATACCTGTGGACAAAACTGGAAAATGAATGGGATTAGGATTTATTCTACTAGCTTCCTTTTCTTTCCTCTGGATAAGCCCCTTCATGGCATAGAGTTTCCTACACTTTCCAGGAAAATTTATCTGGCTGCTCATTTCTACTAAAATAGGGAATATATTTGATAAGATTTCTACATTCAAAGCTTTGCCATTTCCAGTAGGATTTATAGTCTGCTGTTATTATTCATGCAGTGCATTAAAAATGCATGCCCTTCTAAGTGCTCATACATTCATTTTTATAGATGTCACTGGGCTTCAGTAGTGTCTCATTAATGGTTTTGCAAATAATCCAAGACACATTCCAGTTTTTATTTCTAACAGAAAGTGAGACTATCTCTTACATTATACTTTTGAGGTTTGAAAAAGCTGGAAATAAAATTTCATTGAAAAAATCAAAGAGAAAAGAAGTCTATTCAAATGGTAATGATTTTGCAGTTAAGACAAAATGGTATAAAAAAGATCTATGAAATTTTTTGTTTCATTATAATGAAAGGTTGATTTCCATTTGACAGACTGCAACATATGAAATACAAAGAATATGTGATTCATTTTTGAAGTTGTTCAGCAAGGTCTCACAATGTAGGGCACTGTGACAATCATTGCATTAGAGCCTCATTTCTTAAACTCATTCTGTAAGCCAGACTCTGTGCTAAATACTGAGATCACCACAAAAATCACAGGATAAAGTTACTACCATTAGCCCTATATGATAGAAGAGGAAACTGATACTTAAAATATTATAGAACTAGGCCAGGCACGGTGGCTCATGCCTGTAATCCTAGCAATTTGGGAGGCTGAGGCGGCAGACCCCCTAAGGTCAGGAGTTTGAGACCAGCCTGACCAACATGGAGAAACCCTGTTTCTACTAAAAATACAAAACATTACCCAAGTGTGGTGGTGCATGCCTGTAATCCCAGCTACTGGGGAGGCCAAGGCAGGAGCATCGCTTGAACTCAGGAGGCAGAGGTGTGGTGAGCTGAGATTGTGCCATTGCACTCTAGCCTGGGCAACAAGAGCGAAACTCCATCTCAAATATATGTAT
The DNA here is from genome assembly GCF_000001405.40 of Homo sapiens. Taxonomy (NCBI): domain Eukaryota; kingdom Metazoa; phylum Chordata; class Mammalia; order Primates; family Hominidae; genus Homo; species Homo sapiens. The sequence continues at coordinate 48,318,030 of NC_000006.12, forward strand.
ATTTGAGAACTAGGAAATAGAAGAGTCGAGGTTCTAACCCAAGTCTGTCAGTCACAGAGTCTGTTCTCTTATACAATTTCTAGTTGGGAAATAAAAGTTTTAAATTTTGAATAAAATGATATTTGACATATGGAAGCTTACAGTATGAGAAATATGAGTTTGCAAAATAATAATGTGTCTAAAGAAAATTTATAAATTGTCACATTAAGATAGTATGCCAGGCCAGGAATAGTGGCTCATACCTGTAATCTTAGCACTTTGGGAGGCTGAGGCAAGAGGATCATCACTTAATTTCGGGAGTTTGAGACTGGCCTGGGCAACATAGTGATACCCTGTCTGTAGGGGAAAAAAAAAAAAAAAAAAAAAAAAGCTCATTGTGGTGGCATGCGCCTGTGGTCTCAGCTACTAGGGAGGTTGAGATGGGAGGATTGTTTGAGCCTGGGAGGTTGAGGCTTCAGTGGGCTATAATGTGTCATTGCACTCTAGCCTAGGCCACAGAGCAAGACCCTGTCTAAAATAATAATAAAAACTGATAGTATGTATCAGTTTATTTTTTATTCTAAAATCACAATTTGCTTCTTGCTTTCCCATACTAAATGGGAAGTGCTCCTTTAAACACATTGCATGATGTCAAGCATTCTCAGTACAAGGCACTGGAGAGACATTTCAGGAAGAAGGGATTTCCCTTGCAGTTTTTAGAGACTGCATCATTGATTAGTAGCACGGATGTGAGGGCATCTTGTGATTCTTTGCCCCAGCCATGCACATAGGATGCATCGTCTTTTGATGACCTCATAGACCTGGCCTGGCTTAGTGATAACTCTCTTGCAGCTCTCCTGATGCAGGCAACTGTTGCTTTAGGCCTCCTGCCCACCGCACTGCTCTGACTTGCTCTGCATGCTGGCTTGCCTGTACACAGGCTATGGCTCATCTGTGACTGAAGAATCTCTCTGTCAAATGGCTGTGCCATCTGTGGCCGGGATTACCCAGTGAAGTTCTCTGATATGTAGTGGGTCGTTAGCACAACTTCAGTGAGATCTGAACTCCTACCTTGGCGAGTGGGCACAACTTTCAAATAGATATCTGAATACAGAATTCAAGGAAATGCCATGACTGAATACCATAATTTGAAGATCATTGTGTATAGATAGATTTTTGAACCACAGAACTTAATGGCGTTATTTAGGGAAAGAGTTTAGATACGTTAAAATAAATATAAAATAGGGGCATGGTATGGAGCTGTAGGAAACTCTCATAATTAGATGTAAAGCATAGGAGTTAGAAACAGCAAGAAAGAGAAAGCAACTATAATACATAGATGAGATAGAAAATCAGGAGAGGGGACATTACCATGAGAAGGAAAATTTTCCAGAAGGAAGAAAAAATAAACAATGCTGATACTGCCAAGAAGCTAATAAAAGTCATGACATATGAACTTTTTATTTGTTGATAGTTCAGCAGAGTAACAAGATGGTTTCTGCAAGGAAATGTGAAGGCAAAGGGAGTTTTAAGTAGAAGATACTGGAATATGTCGTATGCAGTTAGGAATGATTCAGAAGAGAGAGGAAGAAATTAGGATTCAGAATAAAAGGGCAGAGTTAATAAAGGAAATTTCTGGCTAAGACAAGAGGAAACATCTGTGAGACAGAGAGAAAAGGGGCTGTTTCAGAGGAGCAGGGAAGGTAAGACAAAGGGCATGAGAAGAGAGTGAGGGTGTAAGAGAATTGCCGTTTATCTGGTTGCTTCTATTTTCTCAGGGAAGCAGGTGGCAAGAGTCATGGAAGTACATGATTGGACAGGTTTTGTGAAAAAGAGAGATACGAAATGACTACTTTAAAAATGGTAATGCAAACCAGAGAAGGATGAATATGTGTGTGTGTGTGTGTGTGTGTGTGTGTGTGTGCGTGCATTTTAACAATGGTAGTTGCTTGAGTGCCAGGGCAGAGTAGGGAGCTAGTAGATTCACCAGGCTTAGGGTTCACTAGATGAGTGAAATGGAGTGAGAAGGGAGCAAAGGAGTTAAAGATTTTTTGAAGGGAGTGAGTATAATGATGAGATGTAAACTGTAAAGGGAAAGGTAAGGACATGTGGAAGCAAGGTCAATGAACTTGAGATCTTTATTGAAGGTGAAGAATTGCTCATATAGGAGTACTTATTTAGGTAAGCTGAGAAAATAGAAACAGTTTTCCAAAAACTAAATTCTTAAAATAGTTTTTGTGGTGACAAGGCCACAGATATGGTCATGGTGGTGTACGACTGAGCTGGAATGAAAGAAAAGCCCTTTGGAGATGAGGAGGTCAAGGAACTTGGAGTCCAGCAATTATCCTTAATCTGTCAATTCTCCAATAACTAGGGATGAAGATATTTAAATAGGATAGGGAAGTACACACGTTTTCAATAAATTTATAGGTTACTTTTCCTCTTCCTGTGAACAACTTTGAGTTTCCATTTCCAGCTTTAGCATAGTCTACCCACTTGAAGTTCTGAACCCTAATACATATTGTATGTGTGTGTTTGGGTGGGGGGGGCGCTGGGAAATTGGGAGACATAGTTTGGTGCAAATTTCTGTGGGAAATGTAACACATTAGCCATTATTGGTTATTAATAATAATTGGTGAAATTTGTCAAAGCTTTTATGAAAGTTCCAGTAAGAAACAGAAACCACGTCTAAACTTGTTTTATTTGTTGGACGAAATTTTGTGTTTCATGGGGAAAGGATGGAGGGTGATAAATTATTCTGATATTCCCAGGCAGATACAGGGCAGCATGAGTACCTTAGGGTCAGGTCACTGTGAAGTAGGAAACAGCACTAAAAAGAAAGGGGAAATGAATGTCATGAAAAGTTCCTATTGACAACTTTATTTTGCTTGGAGACATGACATCCAGAAATCTCTGTTACATCAGTGTCCTACCCACAGTGAAAAAATATAGATAATGATTCATTCCCCACTGATTATTTTCTACCAGAATTTTTCTGGTGGATTTTAAAAAGAACCACAAAAATATAAATCTTTAAAAATTCACTTTTATTGTACCATATAATGGTGCTTTTTTGTTAAGGAATCAATGTGTACAATCTGAAACCGGGTGACTGGGGAGGTTGGGACTTTATTTCTGCAACTGGAGAAATTTTCCATAATAGAAGAAAATGCACCAACTTTTTTTGCTGCAGGTTTTCCTTTGAGATCAATAAAATAATAAACCACAAAAATACAGCCATTAAAGTATTGGGTTTTCCATGAGAATATAGCATGTTTATAGGCTGGCCTTCAAGTCCCTTGTCTTCAATCAGGCATATCCAAGGCACCAGAGTTGCAATTAATAACAAGATGATGAGCTGTTTTTTGTTGTTGTTGTCTTTGTTGCTCACTCCTCCCCACTGTGAGGTAAGGGCTGTCCTGGGTTATCTTGTTGTTGTTTCAAGTTTCTTTGCACATTGCTTGCAGAAATCCACCCTCTACTTTTCTGTAAAGGAGAAACCTTTGTGAGAAGGTGGATAATAATTAGATAGAAGAAAGGAATTAGTCATCCATCATGAAGTCACTGCTATTAAATGTTATAATATAATCTCTACTGCTATTTCTAACTAGCTTTTAGTCATTCCAGACATTTAGTCCTACAAAGCTCCTTTTTAAAAACACTTTATGAAATTATTCAATGATGTTTTTGCAAATACAATAAATTCCAAAGTATTACCTCTCTGAAAAATATCCGTTAGAGGAACAGTGTTGTAATTATACCAATCGTATAGGGGTTTTTATCCTTTTCCAAGTCATCTCCATATATTTTAACCATTCTGCATTACCCTATATCAAATATGACTGATGTAAAAATTTCTAAGATAGGACAGTTTAGTAAGAGAGCCAAAAATGTGTAAGGAATATGACAAATTGTACTATATGCTTTACCCAGCTGGTTGCATTTGTGCCTATTGCTTCATCTGGCCCCATCTCCCCCAGATTTCATCTTCTCTCTTTGCTGCAGGAAAATATATCTAATTGTCCAATCAAAACTGGCTCTTGGCTAACTCAAAGGCTCCTTAAATTCAACTTTTTAAAAACAAAATAAATAACCTTAACCTCTTCCATACTGTCTCAGTTTATTTACGTTGCTATAAAAGAATACCTGAAGCTGGGTGACTTATAAAGAAGAGAGGTGTATTTGGCTCATGGTTCTGCAGGCTGTACAAGAAGCATGGCACCAGCATTTGCTTCTGGTGAGGACCTCAGGAAGCTTCCACCCATAGTGGAAAGTGAAGGGCAATAGGCATCACGTGGAGAGAGTAAGGGAGGGAAGGGATGAGTTGCCAGGCTCTTTTCAACAATCAGGTCTCTTGGGAACTAATGGAGCAAGAACTCACTTATTACCAAGTTATGCATGAGGGATCTGAGCCCATGATCCAAACACCTCCCACAAGGTCCCACCTTCAACATTGGGGATCAAATTTCAACATGAGATTCAGAGAAGACAAATATTCAAACTATATCACATGCCAAAATAAAAAAAGAAAACAACATCAAAACCAAAAAAATTCTACTCTTCCAGTAGTTTTTTCTCAATGAACATCATCACTTTCAATTCAACCGAAAGGCAAGAAACTATTTTACCTTTGACATCGCCTCCACTTTACCTCTTTGTTCAACCTATCACTGTGTCCTCTTGATTCTACCTCATAGATAGTCCTCAATTCCTTTCACTATTCAATACCTCTATCACCACTGCTGTAGTTCAAACTCTCATCAGTTTTGACCTGGAAAACTGCAATGTCTTCTTAGTGAGTTTCCTTGCCTTCTATCTTGGCCATTCTAGTTGATTCTCTAGGTGGTTTCTGAAGTAATCATTAAAAAGGTAGATATTATTTTGTCATGCCCTTGATTATAACTTTTAAATTGTTTCCCATAGTTCTTTGGATAAGAACAAATTTCTTCACTATATTAAAGAGTTCCCATATAAACTGTCTTCTGTAAGTTTACCAGCATCATCTTTTATAACTTGCCAGTAATTCTAAGAAGTCTATCTTGGCTTATTGTACATCCTACAAAATCATGCTTATTTCTGTTTTAGGGCCTGCCTTTCCACAGGCCATTCTGTGAAGATTCTAGGTTTCCTTAGGATAAGGACCATATTTCTTTCACTTGCTTTTTATCCAAAGCCCATTCAAGTACCTAGTACTTGAAACTCAGTAAAAAATATATATTTATATTTATGTAAAAATGTATTTATGGATATAAATATATATATATATATTTCCTGCATGAATCATGATTAAGTGAAAAATTATACTCTATTACCCCATTTTTATTTGCCCTCTTTTAAATTCTTAGATATCTATGTCTTGGACTAAAATGGAAAGTATTTATTTTCATAGCTACAAGTGTAATTCTTATTACAGTTAATCAACAATAGTTTATTGAGCTCTAATAATTTTCAAATGATTTCATTAATAGCTAAGGATATCTGAAGGCCACCTAATTTTCATAAGTAATATTTTGTTTAAAAAATTAACAAAGATAAGAGATAGGGAGAGGAGAACATAGTTTGAGATAAGACCCCAAAACAAATTTGGGTTGCAGAAGCAGCAGAGACCATTCTGTTTACATTAGAAAGTTTGGGCCAGTAAGTATGAAACTATAAATTTCAAAATGTCCAGTTAAGCTAACTTGGATGAAGTATTTTCTGATAATCAAAGTCCATCAATTCTGAATCAATTTTTCCCTACTATTTTTAACATCCGGTTCCATAGAGCTATCTACTAAAATTTGTCTATATCAAAGGAACAATATTAACAAGGTTAATATATACTGCTAAGGCCTGTCTCCGCATAAGAACCTATAGATCTCTGGAGTATGGTGGGGTATTATTATTTTAGACCACTGGCAAATGCAGTGGATGTTGGTACCAGGGAAATCAGTAAAGTGTAAAGATCATAAAGGAGAATATATATATTTCCCTAGATTATTTCAGAAGAAGGAAGGGATTTTAGCTCTAACAATTCTGTGAAGCAGATTAAAAGCCAAGTTTTTTTAAAAACTATTTAATTATTATAATCATGTACAGGCTGACATTGAAGTTTGAGTTACAAGTCATAACATGACTTTGATGCTAGGCTCATGTTTGAAAAAATTCCATGCAAAGTCCTTAGCACAGTAATATACCCTTAATAGCTTGTTTTAAAACTTTTTTTCCTGTGTGTTAGCAAGCATAATTTTATATGCTAGGATTTTTGCATCCTGAAAAGATTAGAACTATTGGATTAAGTTATCGAGAGGAAGCACCTGGGATGATTAAGAGAAGGAAATGCAAAAAATCAGAGGCAAATATTAAACTTATATACTGAGTGCCTTGTTTTAAAAAGAACAACCCTCTAGATTTTAACATTTTGTAAGAATTATAATGTTCTTTTTTAAAAATTATTCTACTGTCATAAAATAATATTTTGAAATTTCTTCCCTTTTGAGAAGAAAAAATTGTACTATTATGAAATACAGGAAATGAATCAGTATGTAATTTTCAAGTCCAGATTATATCCTATACTAGGAACCATCCTGATATTGTAACTTATTTTGTCTATTGCCTTAAAAGGTGATTTTCTTTAAATATAAACATTTAAGAGCCATTATGTATGGTATATGCTAAAATCCTAGAATATAGAGTCAAAATGGCTTAGATGCAGAATGTAAATTTTTTCAATTTAAATTTAAATTTTTAAAGCCATGAAACCCCAGACCTTATTTTTAGGGTTTCTGAATATTGGTCTCCTCATATAAAATAATGATAATATTTATATCTTATAGATGTATGGGATTAAAAGAAACAATGATTGTGGAGTATTTGGAATATTAACTGGTAAATAATAATTGATAAATGGTGACTATTGTTGGTGCTTTTATTATAGTACTAATATTTACATTCAGAGAACCAGAATGTTATAAATAAATCCAATATACCCCTTTGAAAAAATACTTCATAGAGGTGTCCAAAAAAAGGGAGTAAAAATGTTTGTGCTACTTCAAAGAATGTGTATAATACATTTATGAGATTTTGGCTGACCAGGATCTATACATTCAACTTCCAATAATGATTTGAAGATCCATCTGTCTCTTCTGCCACATTTAATCCATAAGGTTTGAATAGGATTCCTACTTTCATTCTAGGCAGATGGCATGCAATAACTCAAGCCTAGGTTTATTAGTATATGACATTTTTCTTAGCTTTGGTGATTGACTTAGGCTGGGCACTTACAACAAGCACAGCCAATGAGATGGAATTAAGCTTTTGTTGGAATTTATAGGAGAGAAGCTATTTCCCTTTTCCATAGAATTTGAAACTGGAATGATGGAAGATTGGGAGTCAATATAGATGTCATGTACCTACCAGAGGTCTTCCATGCAAAATAAAGCCAAAATGGAGAAAAGTGGAGCTAAGAATCAAACTTGATCCTTATGATAATTGTTTGAGCCCACTGATCATGTCAGGCTTTAAACATCACTATGATCGGATGTTTATATCCCCCAAAATTCCTATGTTGGAACCCTAACCCCCAAATGGATTTTTATATCCCCCAAAATTCATATGTTGAAATCCTAATCCCCCTGTTTGGAGGTGGGGCCTTTCGGAGGTGATTAGATCATGGGGGCAAAGCCCTCATGAATGGGCTTAGTGCCTTTAGAAAACAGGTCCAAAGGAGCTCTTTCATCCATTTCACCATGTGAGGACATAGCACAGAAGCACCAGCTATGAGCCATATAGTGGGCCCTCACCAGACACTTATCTGCTGACACCTTGATCTTGTGCTTCTCAGACTTCAGGACTGTGAAAAATTTCAGTTGTTTATAAGCTACCCAGTTAATGATATTTTGTTTTAGCAGTCCCCAATGACTAACACAGACACGTCATCTGGCTTTTAAGGAATCACTGAAAGAAACAAGGAATAGAAATGTGTTCTTGAGCCAGAGCATAAGCAGGAATACCCCTTTGAAGGGGTGATTTAAGTGTTGTAACTTGGAAGACTTTCACTGGTAGTAAGCATAACTTTGCAATGATTTCAAAATAAAATGGAAGACAGAATTTTTGTTTGCTTGCTTTTCAAAACTAATTAGATAGAACACAGTTGATTAATTAGGAAACACAATGCTTATTATACAGATTATTTTTGGTTACATAAAATGTTTTAATTATAAATGTTTAATTTATGAAATATCATAGATACAAACAAAATTAAGTGTACAAAGATATTTGTTTCTGTCCAGCATCCACAGTTAATTTTAGCAGATACTTGTATACAGTGTCAACTTTGAATAGTTGACCTAGGAGTGCCCAAAAACTATTCATAAGTATTGATGTTTTTCTAATAAGACAGTATCATCCAAAGCAATTAAGGTTTGAAAAAATAGATACTTTATTGAATTTTATTGTCTTTTGTTGTTAAAACACTGGATAAGAAAGGTGCCAATTCAAAATCCTGGGAATAGAAAATAGGAATGGAGAATAATGAAAGAATGGATTTGTTCAGTATTTACTAGCTATTTCCCTTACCTTCATTATATAAGTTATATAAATTCTGAGAATAGAAAAATAACTTGAGTTTTGAATGTGAATTATGCTATTCAGATCTCTTTTGTCTTCATTTTAAAATAACTTTGTAAAGTTGGCTAACACAAATTTTCAAAAAATTACCTTTGAATTGTTAAGTATAGCTATGTTGACAATATTCTTAAACAACTTTCAATGACACGTAATACACATAAAGAGAAGTGCACCTATATAAATGTATATATTGCAGGATTTTCACAACTAAACATATCCCCGCAATCAGCCCCCCTATTAAGAGACAGATTATTACCAACACACCAGAATCTCCCTTCTTACATTCCATTTCACTATCGCTATCTTCTAAAACATAGTTTTGACTATTCCTACACTTTGTGTTATTTGAGTCATATTATACGTAGTCTTTATTATCTAACTTCCTTTGTTCAACATTCTCTGTGAGGTCCATTCATACTGTTGGGCATGCGGCTAATTCTATTGGAACTAAAAGTTGAGTATTCCAAATAAAAAAATCCAAAAAAAATTGCTGCAAAATCTGAAACTTCCGGACTGCCAAAGTAATACTCAAAATAAATGCTTATTGGAGAATTTCAGATTTTCAGATTTGGGATGTTCAACCAATAAGTATATATAATACACATAACTCAAATCCAAAAACGTCACAAATCTGAAACTCTTTTGGTCCCAAGCATTTTGGCTAAGGAATACTCAACCAGTATTACAAACACTGCCACTCTAAATCTTGTAGTATGTGTCTTTTGGTAAGCATATATATGAATTTCTGTTGGGTATTACTTAAGGAGTGGAATTGTTAGATCACATAAATTGTTTGAGTAACTATTTTCAAAGTGGTTGTACCAATTTATAGCCTTACCAGCAGCACATGAGAATTCTAGTTGCTCCACATTCTCACCAATACTTGTTATTTTCTACCTTTTAAGTTGTAGCCATTTTGGTTGGTATGTGGTAGTACCTCACAGTGTTAATTTATATTTCCTTGATGTGTATATTTTAATTCATTTATTTGTTCATTTGTTATCACCTTTGGTGATGTGTCAGTTCAAAGTTTTTTGTATAGTGACAGCATTTTTATAATGTTAAATCAGCAGCAGTTACAATATTTGAAGTCAGGATTTTCATTTCAAATGGAAGCTCAAAAATCCCTTTGGTTCATACATGCCTTCATCCATCTCAAATAATATAACATCTGATACAGAAAAGTGTATTTGTTTCTTGGAGCTAACAGTAGGAATTTGCACGCGCTGAGGAAAAAAAACCTAAGTTCTGATTCTAGCAAAAGAGTAATTATTTTGGAATTTCTCTTAATGTTAAAAGTAAAGGCATTTTACCATTACCTTTGTCATTAAAAGTGACGGAAAAACTGCAATTACTTTTGCACCAACCTAATAGCCCTATAAAGTCTTCACCACTTTAAATTCATTTGCAGGAGAGAGAATTGTCATCGATTTAATTATGTGATAAAGTATCTATATTTATAGTAGCTATCTCATTGGAAATGGTTATTTGAAAAATTTGATTTTTTTTCGACATTTTTAAACTTGATCTGTCATTCTTTGGTATTTTCTTTTACTTAGTATATTTAGCTCCTACTATTGATTTGGTGCTCTACCTGACCTGTTACATATATTATCTAATTTAATATTCACAGTAAGTGTAGCAGGTAGGATTTCTATTATCTTCATTTTAAAGATGAGTACATGGAGGCTTAGAGAAGAGAGAAACTTACCCCATGTCACAGTGCTGTTAAGAAGTGAGGACAGGATTCAAAGATAGCTTTGGCGTATCAAAACTGATGCTTTATTCCACAAGGAGCGGTGGCTCACGTCTGTAATCCCAGCACTTTGGGAGGCCGAGGCGGGCAGATCATGAGGTCAGGAGATCGAGACCATCCTGGCTAACACGGTGAAACCCCGTCTCTACTAAAAATACAAAAAATTAGCTGGGCGTTGTGGCGGGCGCCTGTAGTTCCAGCTACTCAGGAGGCTGAGGCAGGAGAATGGCGTGAACCCAGGAGGCGGAGCTTGCAGTGAGCTGAGATTGCGCCACTGCACTCCAGCCTGGGCGACAGAGCAACAGAGCGAGACTCTTTCTAAACCAAAACAAAACAAAACAAAACAAAACAAAACAAAACAAAACAAAAAAACCAACCAAACAAACAAAAACCCTGATGCTTTACTTCTTGTTATCCCCTATAACTTACTTGGTGTACAACTCCTCAAGTCTATCAAACAGTATAAACACACCTGTTTTATTTGGGCCTCACTAAGTCAAGTTGGATCTCTGTTTTGCTATATCTAAGGGACTTTTTTTGCTCCCATCTTTCTTTACATCACAGCAACATTCTACATTATTGACCACTTCCATGTCCTTGAAACACACTTTCCTTTGGCTTCCATGAAAGAGCACTTTTTACTCTTTCTGTGTCTTTTTCTAGTGACAGCTTAGACAGGAGACACTGCTTAGACCTATGTAGGCTGTATCCCCTCAGTGTGGGCTTGTCTCTCAGTAGGAACTTCTAATTGAGTGTTTTGTGCATTTGACTGAAAGAGTCTCATTCCACTTTCAATACTTTCTTTATCTTCTTAGCATATCTTTGTTAAACTGCTCTAATGGGGCTGCCCTTGGCTGTTTAAAACATCTACATCCTTCTCTGAAGTTCTTTTCAAATTTTATACTGCTGTACTCCTTGTTAGATTCCAAAACTCTCATTTTTTAAAAAAAGTGACTCACCCTGTGTGTTGAAAAGTTCTGGTGGTTCTGGCACCTTAGATTTGGCCTCAGAAATTATTACAGTTCAGCCTAAGTATAATTTTTTCCACATTGATTTGATTTATGATGAGCATTTGTTTCACTCTTATCAAATAAGAACTCATTTATTTTAAATAAAATGACATTCTGAGCCAGAAGACAGAAGGTGTACTTGGCAAATGAAAAGATCACCATGTTTGCTTGCATCAGTAGAAGTTATGTTTTTATATACTCTGAGAATATTTTAAATGTGGGCTCTTTTATTTGATTTGTACCATAAACAAAGAGGCAAGAGAAATGGATCAACATGAGGTAGAAAAGACATAAATTATTAACATCAGAAGAGATTACTTTCAGGATGAAGCAGTAGTTGTGAATTTCATAGATTAATAAAGAAATAGCGGAAAGCAGAAACAAAATTTCATATACTGAAATTCATTTTGAGGCTCCATTTGCTACATCTTTGCTTTTTGTTAGAGCACCTCATCAGACATCAAATTGTTTGGTTTTTATCTTTGTATTCAGCACAAAGAATGCCTGAAAATAGCCTTTGACTCACAAAGAGCAACCTCCATTAGAAAGTGAGTGAGAGGCAGAAGGATGGCCTTGATCTGCTATAGCTTCACTAAGAAGTGTAGAATGAGGCAGCTTCCAGGAAAAGGAGCTACTATGTATTGTGAGGGTTTTAGAGGAAATGGTTCCCAACTGCTTGAGCACTCCCAGGAAAATCGGAAGGAGGATGACAGTTTTATCTCAGCAAGGATGAGCATCCGAATCAAATCTAACATGGCATCCTGGGCGAATGTGTGATTCCTGAAGGTGACTGCATATAAATTAAGAATGGCTGGATGAGGATATCTCCCCTGTGAACACTGATGGTTTCTACTTCACTGCTACCCCTCTCCACGTTCTTTTCAATGTGCCCCAAATCCCTTGCTCAATACAAAGCCAAGTTCTACCAGCTGTTGCGCACTGGCAACTCAGCAAGACCAGCCTCCGCTCAGTCTTAGTGTTCTACTCAGGGTTATGACTACTCATGATTTATGCCTGAGGCCCCTCCGTGTGTTCTGCCCAATTTAGCAACTGTCCCGCATTTATTTTCATTTTAAATAGTGTATCAGTATTTGGGGGCTCCTTAAAATTCATTGGGATGGGTTTAAGAGGCCTCTGCTTTATAGTTGCAATTTCTACTATGTCCTCAACTGTAGTGAACAACTAGGTTCACTATATCTACAGAAGACAACTCAACAGAAAGTAGACAAATTTTTTTCTGATACCTGCTTTAATCAGAAAGATAATTAGTAAGGGTTTAAACATATCAATATAACCAGGACCTTCCTTTCAAGGGCAGCATGCAAGCCTCAGCTGACAAAATTAACTGCTTGTGGATATGAATGGCTGAAGACAACTAACTCTGTACTTGGGTGGTATTACAGAAGTATTCAATTCTGCTGTCTGTTGGCCACTAGAGTTTCCATTCAATTAGGCGATTGTGCTTTTTAGTGCCTGAGAGGTACATGAGGCCCCCAGAATCCAGTTAGTAATATCAGTAGAAAGCATCAGAAATTTTACATTAGATATATATATATATATATATATATATAGTATACGTAGGAAATAAATATTAAGTAGTCCTGCCATACATAGTCTATAGTCCAAAGTTTTTTATTAATTTTTTTATGTTAAAATCTATAATTCTTGTTCAATGATGCTGTTTTGTTTTGCAATTAACCTTTTTGACAACAATAAATGTAAAAATATAAATGCATATTTAATAAGAAATTTGTATTAAATTTATGCTTTCAAAAAATAGATGATACATGTATGTCTTACAGAAAAGTTGATCAAAAGTTGCCATCCTTTGTGGGTTGCATATCATTACTATCCTTGTGAAACCCAGAAGACACTAATCTGTTGGTCAAGAATCAGCAATTACTTTAAAAGTTAAAAGTTATTTTTAAGAACACTGTATTCAAAGATGGCAATACTAGCTGTGCAGCTGCAAAAGATGCATTAATATACAACTCTTGGGCATTATTTTTCATTTAGATCAAATGAATGACCTTTTAAGTTAATTATGCTAATTCTTGGTTAGAAATTTTGTGTGTGTAGAGAAAAAGCACACAAGTACATAAGCACACACTTAGATATTGCTAAGTTAAATATCTCAAGTGAAATAGCTGACATTATGAATGCTATTATAAATTTAGCTAAAAGTTCAATGTTAATTTTGTTTCAGTGATATTATGAATATTAATTTCATTGTGGTATAACTCCATGGTCAAAACAATTTTGTAACCAAAGAAAAGAAACCAGGGAGCAGAGATGTACTTTGTGGTACAAACAAACCAATATGTGGTACAGAAACTCGATATAATTCATAATTATGCTCAAACAAAATGCAATATTCTACCAATAGAAATGAAGTTGTTGAAATTTATAAATATGTTAGGTATATACATAATAACTAAACTACCAAGCTGTTTTGCTAAGCCTGATGTTGAAAACAAGCAAAAAATTGTATAAGCTCTTTCTTTTTTCTACTCATCAGCAAGTTTATTTTAGAAATACATGAGCCTTTGAAGTGCTATTTTCAAAATCAACCTAACTGTACTACAAAAGGTTTAAATTTCTCTACACAAGTCTACTATGATTTTATATTTGTACTTTGTTCAAAATTAGTTGTAAAACTTTAATCAAAATAACCAATGAATGACGGCCCTAAATTAATTCTTTGAAGTTTATAGCAAATTGAAATTATAAAAACAATACTTGCAAGCAGAAAGACATTTAACTCTACTAAAGGAAGGTTAAATTGAACAAAATATGCAATGCAAGTTCAAATAATGTACTGAATTTGGTTTTGAATTTATATAATAATACTTGAAGCATCTTAAACTGTGGGCAACTGTTTAATGTTGTTACTTTTTTTTTTTTTTTTTTTTTTGAGATGGAGTCTCGCTGTGTCACTCAGGCTGGAGTGCAGTGGTGTAATCTCAGCTCACTGCAAGCTCGACCTCCCGGGTTCGCTCCATTCTCCTGCCTCAGCCTCCGGAGTAGCTGGGACTACAGGCGCCCCCCACCACGCCCGGCTAATTTTTTGTATTTTTAGTAAAGACAGGGTTTCACCGTGTTAGCCAGGATGGTCTCCATCTCCTGACCTCGTGATCCAACCGCCTCGGCCTCCCAAAGTGCTGGGATTATAGGCATGAGACACCGCGCCCGACCTGTTGTTACTATTTTTAATTGGATACATTTACATTTTCAATGGAACTAAATTGAGACTGTCTAACATATTGCAACATCCAAATCCAGCCAAAGACCCAAGAGAGTCAACAGAAAATTTATTGATGAGTTTCTTTCTTAAGAATGAAGCAGGAATGGATGATATTCACACAGATTTGGGGCTCTAAACATCTATATAACCTGGAAGAAGTTGTTAGACTTTCTATTGTTTCAACTGAGCAGATAATGGGTAGGGAAGAAGAGGATTCAAATATTGATAATTTCACAATAGCATGGGGCACCCTTCCTTTCTTCCTAAAAATTTATTTGACATACAAAAAGCTGTACATAATTAAAATGTATACAACTTGATGGAGATGTTTATATCCTTGAAATCATCATCACAGTTTATGCCATGAACCTATATATCACCTGCAAAACTTACCCTTCTTGTTTTTATTGCTATTATTGTTATTGATAAAATAATTTAACTTAGATCTATACTCTTAAGTTTTAAAATATACAGTACAGGATTATTAACTGTAGGCGTATGCTGTACAGATCTCTACGACTTGCTTATCTTACGCAACTGAAATTGCACTCTTTGACTAATGCCTCCACATTTTCTCTCACTTACCCCAGGCCCTGCCAACTACCATTCCACTCCCTGCTTCTATGAACTTAACTATTTAGAGTCACTATATAAGTGGTATCATGTAGTATTTGTTCTTCTGTCTCTGGCTTATTTCACTTGGCCAACGTCCCCCAGGTTCATCTATGTTGTCTTAGGTGGCAGGATTTCCTTCTTTTTAAGACTGAATAAAATTCCATTGTATTTATATACTACATTTTCTTTATTTTCCCGTTAATGAACACTGAGGTTGCTTCCATGTCTTGGCTATCGTGAATAATGCTGCAATAACATGGAATGTAGATGTCTCTTAGAGATCCCAATTTCAATTCCTTTGGATGTATATCCAGAAGTGGGATTTCTGGATTATATGATAGCTCTATTTTTAGTTGTTTGGGGAACTTCCATACGGTTTTCGGTAGTGGTTACACCAATTTACATTTACATCAACGGTATAAAAGGGTTCCCTGTTCTCTATATTCTCACTAAAATTTGATATATATGATATATGTATCATATTTGATATATATAATAACAGCCATCCTAATAAGTGTGAAGTGATCTCGTTGTTTTTATTTGCATTTCCCTGATGATTTGTGATGTTGAGCACCTTTTCATATACCTGTTAGTGGGGGCACTTTTATACAACTCGTTCTTTGTATCCTTTTCACAGTTCCTTCCCATAGAGTTGGTGTATAAAAAGTGTGCCACATTTTATAATTCAAGTATTAACTGACATGCAAACGCACACAGAGAGCTGGAAGAAAATTTAGAATTTAAAGGAAATGGCAGAACTGGAAAACCAACAGTATCTGACATCAGACAATTGTCCTTTCAATTTGCCAGATGCCTTGCAGTTGGACTTTATAAACAAACTTGGTAGACAGTCATTTATGATTTGAAAAAATCTAAGATCTATTACAAATAAACCTTTCAGATTGGTTAAGAAATTAAAACCTTTACTATAATGCAATCTCATATAAGTATAGTGAGAAAACAACCAAAACACCACTGGGAAGGATTTTGAAAAACATATTTCCCAGGCTCCCAAGCACCTGTGATGCTGGAAAGAGCATAAATGTTTAAACATATCTCTGAGTTGCCAATAGATAATCACCACAGAAACCTTTATATAAATGTTTGAAAATAACACAAACTGTCATAGGCTATTCATGGACATATTGATGTTTAAGAAAACTGTCATTATGGAATGGAAAGATATCAACTTCAAGAGCTTAGTTATCTATGAAAAAGGAGAAGAGCTTCAACTTTATAAGATTTTTATTTACTCAAAAATTCTGAGTGGGAAGCAAATGGTGAAAATGTTCATATTTGTATGATTTCTTCACGGTAATTATATTCTTCTGTCATTTTTATAATTTTGAAATACTTCATAATTATTCGATTTATTTAAAAAAAGCAGCAGCACAATGGAGATTGGAAGGGAATAAAAATCTGTACCTTCTTGAAAGTGTTTCTAGGTTCAGTCCTAAAGATGCTTGGGGAACATGTCAAACCAAACATTGTTATTAAAACAATATAGTCTCTGCAGTCTGAACTATAGAAGGCTTCACAACACAGAGGTTAATCCTAATTTTAAATCATTGTGCCATATATCTTCATTAAATTAAATAATCTCTTCTTTCTGCAAAAGTTTTGTGATGCTGTGGTAAAATAGGAATCAGTTTATTTTTATTATCACTTCGAGGATAAATGTTTTGCAAATTCTTCTGTATACATTTTGATATTTGATCCAGATAACAACATTGTTAGATAAAAAGGGTTGTCCTCATTATCCCATGTTAAAGACTACCATTTGACCCAGCCATCCCATTACTGGGTATATACCCAAAGGATTATAAATCATGCTGCTATAAAGACACATGCACACGTATGTTTATTGCGGCACTATTCACAATAGCAAAGACTTGGAACCAACCCAAATGACCAACAATGATAGACTGGATTAAGAAAATGTGGCACATATACACCATGGAATACTATGCAGCCATAAAAAATGATGAGTTCATGTCCTTTGTAGGGACATGGATGAAGCTGGAAACCATCATACTCAGCAAACTATCGCAAGGACAAAAAACCAAACACCGCATGTTCTCACTCATAGGTGGGAATTGAACAATGAGAACACATGGACACAGGGAGGGGAACTTCACACCCCAGGGACTGTTGTGGGGCGGGGGGAGGAGGGAGGGATAGCGTTAGGAGATATATCTAATGCTAAATGACGAGTTAATGGGTGCAGCACACCAACATGGCACATGTATACATATGTAACAAACCTGCACGTTGTGCACATGTATCCTAAAACTTAAAGTATAATAATAATAATAATAATAACAATAATAATAATAATAAAGACTAGCAACCAAAGCTTTCTCCTCCCTGGTTACTCTGTGAGCACATTATCACACAGCTAATCTGTGATAGGGCAACTATTAGAAATCAGGATTTCTAACTTCCAGCAACTTGAA
The DNA here is from genome assembly GCF_000001405.40 of Homo sapiens. NCBI lineage: Eukaryota > Metazoa > Chordata > Mammalia > Primates > Hominidae > Homo > Homo sapiens. The sequence continues at coordinate 48,335,697 of NC_000006.12, forward strand.
ACTTTTTTCTACGTCACCATTTTGTCCCCCTCATTACATGTCTTTCAAGTTGTGATTTTTCAAATTATCTTATTTTTTAACCAATAATATTTTAGTCGTGTGTCAATATGATGATAAAGGATTCCTAAGGAGAAAAATTAAAGAAAACCCTTCTAACAGTTTCTGTAACTCCTAAGTTCTATGATTCTCTACTTTCCTGTAATTTCCCAGCCTCTATGTCTTTAGAGACAATGTGCCATCTTATTATTCATGAGATCCAAGTTGTCAGAAAGAACCAAAGAAAATAAATGTTATACGTATGAGAAGCAAACATACACTTTTAGGCAAAACTCAGTGCTATATAATTTCATTATTTTCAAAAATGGAGATTAATTAAACACATAGCCCATTGATTTAATTTTGTAATATTGTAAACGTTATAACTCTCTTAATGCTCACAAATTTTAACATTAGGAAAAATTTTTAGAAATGTGTATGTATTTTTGGTTTAGAAAATATGGTCATCTCAGTGTATTGACACAACAGCCTAGAATTAAAGGTAAATGCTAATAATAATATAAACATACATTGAATCAGAAACTTGCAAAAATCTATTTGTTATTAAATTTTTTCATTTTTTTCTTAAGGAAGGCCATACGTTTTTTTCAAGTTTCTTTTAACTTTGCTTTCTATTTTTGTGGATGTCATTTTTCAAATAAAGCTAAGCTCTGAAGCAAATATGTGAAGAAATCAACATTTTCATGTTTCAGTTTTCTGTTATTATTGCTCTATCTCATCCCAAGATGCCTACAAACATTTTTATCTCTGCCCTTTCTGAAATTGTCCAATTTCCTTTAATTTCTCTAACTGGAGTGTCATTATTATAGTTCCTGATTCTTACATGTGCCAAGAGACAGGTAATGGGAAAATCTTCCAAGAGGAAAAAGGTGGAGACTGAAACAAGGCTTATGACTAAGTTTTATGCTAATTGCCTCTAAAGAAATAAATTAAAGAACTAATTATGGCAACTAAATTTATTCTCCTGAATTTAGTTGAGGAGAAAAGATCATGAATGACATTGTGGTAACACCTGAAAGAAATGCAAAATCAATGCATTTGTTTTATTGGTGATCTATATTTATTACTGCTTATTCTTGCAGCAAATATCCTTAGAGCCTGCTTTCAACAAAGCTGTTTGCTTAGATGATTACATAATCCATAAAAATAATGTTTGATTGGTCTAACAGATAAGAATTATTCCTAATGAGTTTAGGATGGCAAAGGCTAATTAACAATTGTACAAATGAGACACCCTAAAAAACAAACAAACAAACAAAAATTAGCTTCTATCTATGTCTTTTCCACCTCACTATTTTTGTCCCACCCAGATAGCTATTGTATTTATTTGTTTTTATCTTGTAATGTTTCCTTATTACATACATACATACACACACACACACGTGCACACAAAATGATTGTGGAAAAATCAACAACATATTCTCTTGCAAAATTTAAACACTTTATAAAATTTTTCACTATGTTTTCCATATAGTTGGTGCATATTTGATACACACACACATAAGCATACACATATAAAAATTGTGCATAATTTTTTTCATATATTGGCATACTATGTCAAAAATGTATTCTCTATGAATTCAAAAATATTCCAAAGGGAAAAAGAACATAATTGCTTAAGTGCTAGAAGGCTATGGTTTTATTTGTGACTGTGGTCTTTACTGTATGTCAAATTTGACTTCAGAGTTAGTCTAAGTTCCTATATGGTAGAAATTTTCTTATACTTTTTTAATCCTTTACAATATCCATCACCATCACTACTGAAAACAGTAGTAGCTAAAATATATTGACTCGATATGCTTCAGTGTTCTTTACTTTCAAAAGAGAACAGGTGATCTTGGTCTCGCTACATAAAACTACAATTTTAATGGGGGAAGCGGGAAGCTTGTATTGTAATCTTGGCTGTTTTCTACTGTGCCTTGAAAACTTTTTTTATTTTCAATTAGTGAAGCCAAATGGAGCTCTTTTAGCCCTTACATTCTATTATTATACAGTATGATAATCTTATGGGTAGTATTTGGAACTAAGATGCATAGGTAGCTGATCAATGCTCAATTTCACCCATAAGTATTGATAAATAAGGAAGCAGATCGGTATGAATAGAAAAAAAATAAAACTTACTGTACAGAGAGTGGTAAAGATGAAAAGGATATGTGGTCCCATTCATTCATTCAATAGCCGTTTGGGAACTTATTTTAATTGGGCATTGTGCTAGGTGTTTAGGAAACATTAACAAACTTAATTATGATCCATGCCTTCTGAGAGCTTCAGGTCACAGTGAAACCGACATTATAAATGGATACAACATAAACATAAGCACATTCATATAGTAAATATGTAATTAATTGAAATTCTGTTAAGTATCAAATCAAAAAAGCAAACACACTTGCAATGAGAAAGTGTCATAGGAGGAAATGCTTAGTGGTGAAAGCAGTTGGAAAAGGCAAAGCTCTTATGAAGAAGTGATTTTCAAGTTGATGTAGCCATAGTTAGAACTGCTTAGAGAGAAGCACAGAATCTGACTTCATGAATCTCCTAATGTTCTCCAGACTCTAGTTCAATTCTTTCACAGGGTCCAGGTGTACTCCCTGATATTCTGGTCTGGGAGATGCTTTTGAGTCCTAATAATAAATCCCCTTTGGTTTAAACTGTAGGAAACATATTTATTTATTTGAGACCAAAGAACCTTCGGTACCATGTGTGCAAAAGCTGCATTTATACTGAAATGAGTCTTTATGTGATAGTGAGTATAAAAATGCATCATTTGAGGGTCTGATCTTCTTTGAATTGATACTCTAGCAGTTAGCATATTAGTAAATTTAAAACATACTGAATATGCCTATATTTTTGAATAGCCTTCTTTCCTCAAAATAACCTATCTGAAGTGTTGACTTTGTAATCAGTTATAAATTTGTAGAATTTTTAGAGACAGAAAAGGCCCTCAGGAAATCGTGTTATTTTGAAGATAAGAAAACAGAAAAGAAAAATAGAAGAGATAGAGATACAGGGATGAGGTAAGACTGTAGAACTGATGTATAGTATGATGTACAGGATGAAGCTAAGTATGATTGCCATTTTAAGGCTTTCTTTAAAAGTATTTGTCAAGTCACTCTTTAAAAATTTATAGGTTTGGCAAAATATATTGATGACTCTTTGATCATATACCAGCTTTTCCAGACAGGGACAAGTCATCGGCACATGATTGCCTGCTACAACTACAACATACAATGTTGGGGTAACATTTGAGTGCAGCAAGAAGATCTAGGCAGATTCTTCACCACATTACTGGAATCAAATAATGTTATTTTTATTTATTTATTTATTTTTGAGACAGAGCCTTGCTCTGTCACCCAGGCTGGAGTGCAATGGTGTGATCTTGGCTCACTGCAACCTTCACCTCCTGGGTTCAAGCGATTCTCCTGCCTCAGCCTCCCGAGTAGCTGGGATTACAGGTGTGCACCACCACATGGCTAATTTTTTTTGTATTTTTAGCAGAGACAGGGTTTTACCATGTTGGCCAGGCTGGTCTCAAACTCCTGACCTCAAGCGATCTGCCCGACTCAGCCTCCCAAAATGTTGGGATTACAGGCGTGAGCCACTGCACCCGGCCAAATAATAATCTTGATTTCAATTTTTCCTTTATAGATTAGTAGTACTAGTTTAGCCTGAATAAGATTATGTAGGACTTGGACTACCCGCAATTACTCACTTAACCAACTTTAAAAGTGGGCTAAGCAGCAGTGTACTCGTGGTCACCACATTATGCCTAAAATACATCAAAGAGATGCCCCTCGGGCCAGATGATGGCATCAAATTGATTACATCATTCTTTGGCAGTAGAAGCTGAAGGACATTGAAATCACTGCAGCAATGCCCAGTGCCAAGACCTGAACCAACAGCTTGCTGGTCTCTTTCAAACTCTTTTAAAGGAACAACATAAGAAAACTTCAAGCCCACATAAAATGGTTACGTATTGAGTTTATAGAGAATACGAAGATTTAACAATTCGTCATTACTGCAAAAAAATCACACCCAATATGCCAATCTGCAAATATTTCATGGTATTCATACAAATAAGATTTAAGAGTATGTATATTGGTGGAAAAAGGAAAGCACATTAAAACCAGAAAAATTATTTTGAACATAGTGTTGTTCATAATAGATAAAATTTTCTCACAGGGGAAGAATTTTGTTTGAATATCTAAAGGCTTGCTGACACAGCTGCAAGATAAGTTTCTCAACCAATAAGTTTCAATAAAATCCGTAGTAGACACCTAAATTAGGGCAATTGAGGACAAAAGCTAGGAGAAAAGAGGGAGAAAAAAAGAACTTGTTTTATCAGGGTGCAAAAATACTTCTCAGCTTAATATGGATCAAAACACTCACTTTAGTAATATTTAAACTGTGATCCCAGATTAGTGCTATCTAAACTGAGGGCTTCAATTCCTAATCCTAGGCTTCTCAGCTGTTGATAATTGAATATACCATTTCTGTTGCTTACCACCTTGTGTGGTCATTACCAAACATAAAAACTGCTTGTCTTTGCAATGTGAGGAATAATACACATGATCATACCAAAATCTCAGATAGAAAAGTAAAATCGAATATCCTTTTCAGTCTGTGCTTAGGTTTCTTAAGCAGAATGCAGGTAATTTTTTTTTTAAAAGCTCTTCATACATTTGCAAAATGGTCTATTGAACTTTTCATTTCCAAATAATTACATTAGACTCTCCTAATGGGAACCATTCGTTCCTTGCCTTATGTCTTTTTCTACAATGTTAAAACACATTGTTTTCTGTTAGTTGTTATGAGAATCCTGAATCATGGCTGGGCGCGGTGGCTCACGCCTGTAATCCCAGCACTTTGGGAAGCCGAGGCAGGCGGATCACGAGGTCAGGAAATCGAGACCATCCTGGCTAACACGGTGAAACCCCGTCTTTACTAAAAAAAATACAAAAAATTTGCCGGGCGTGGTGGCGGGCGCCTGTAGTCCCAGCTACTCCGGAGGCTGAGGCAGGAGAATGGCGTGAACCCGGGAGGTGGAGCTTGCAGTGAGCTGAGATCGCGCCACTGCACTCCAGCCTGGGAGACAGAGTGAGACTCAGTCTCAAAAAAAAAAAAAAAAAAAAAAAAAAGAATCCTGAATCATATAGTAAAGAAAGAACAGTATCCTGGGTATTTACAGTTCCTTCTTGAATTGGATCAGTGAAAACACAGAGGCGCGCGCACACACACACGCACACACACGCAGACACACTTCTTCCAATAGACACCTTTTAAAATAATATTTCTGTTTCTATCACTTAGAAATTAAATAAATTGGAAGTATTCATCACATGGAGTTTATTCATTTTCAAAGCCAACCCTATTATTTAAGTTATTGTAAAAACACACATTTTTAGATTATATTTCTGTAGACTTAAAATAATAGTTTTAAAAGTAATATCTATGTTTCTATCATTATAAGAGATGTCATTATATAAACATACATATATATGAAGGCATATCTATAAAAGGATACATAAATGTGTATGTCTATGACCAAAAATCAAAGCATGTGTATCTATCCCTGTCTATCATATCCCTCTCCAGCACATAAAGAACAAGTAATTTAAGTTTCTTTTTAACTTATGACATGTCATAAGTTATGGGTTATAACAAGGAATAAGGCCCTATACTAATAATATCAGTGACTATTCATTTTAACACACAAAGCATTTGATAGGCAAGGACTTCTTCTCAGACCAAATGAGAACATGTGTCAGGTATTTTTTTTCCCTTTACCTAATTCCACTGGAAAAAAAAATGTTCTTTTTATAGGCACAGCCTTCTCCTCAATCATAAGATGTGGGTGGGTAAGAGGGACGATAGAAAAGTAATAGGATTGGAGAGTTGAGTTGAGTCTAGTGAAATATGGCTTAGGAAAAAAAAATGCCTGTAGAAACTTTTCTCGGAGCTAGGTTTCCTTGACTTACATAGTGGGGAGTCATGCAGCCAATACAACAGAAATGGTGGCTTTCAAAAGAGTCTTTTATTTTTAGCTCCCCTGGATTTCAAAAGAGGAATGTCTACAGGCATAAGGGTCATGGTTGTCATAGAAACTTATTCTACATACTTCTAAAAACAAGATTTCTTTCTCCAATCTTGGTTTCTGCTCCTTGACCAGAAGCAGAAATAAAGTTAGAAAATATAAGAAGTTATTTTGGAGTTCTATAAGACTAAATAAAGTTAGAACATTAAAAGAAAGTTTAAAGAGAAAAAAAATGATTCTAGTGATATGCACAAAACTGAATCCTACTCTAGTGAGGTAAGTATACTGTAGAATACATCATGGATGTATAGCACATTATGTGAAGTATGGTCTTTCTTACTTTTTGTATAATAAACCTTAATTTTATATTTAGATATCATTTAGAATATGTAAGCTGTTTGTGTCAAGGCTGGAGTATCACAGTCTCTACTGAGAGAATATGGAAGGAGGTTTGGGCCAGGAGTAAGAGTGGCCAAAACAACACCAGTACCAAAAGATGAAAGTTCAGATGAAAAAAATGTATGAAATTTAAAGATGGCTAATAGTTTAAGTAAGCTAGCATCCTTGGGAGTGCCCTGTGTAATTGGGTATGAGCCACAATTTCTACAAGCAAGCTATTTTTGTTTGTTTTTTTTTTTGAGACAGAGTCTCCCTCTGTCGCCCAGGCTGGAGTGCAGTGGGGCGATCTCGGCTTACTGTAACATCCATCTCCCAGGTTCAAGCAATTCTCCTGTTTCAGTCTCCCCAGTAGCTGGGACTACAGGTGCACACCACCATGCCTAGCTATGTTTATTTTATTTTTTTTTGTATTTTTAGTAAAGATGAGTTTCTCACCATATTGGTCAGGCTGGTCTCAAACTGCTGACCTCAGGTGATCCACCTGCCTCAGCCTCCCAAAGTGCTAGAATTACAGGCGTGAGCCACTGTGCCCGGCCCAAACAAGCTATTCTAAGAGAAAAGATGTGTTTTAACCAGTTTGTCCACTACTGTCACTTCATAGTAGCTACCTGCATTGCTGTGTTGATATAGCTTCTGAGGCCAGGGTTGGTGCTAGTGATAAATGTAGAAAGAGAAGTAGAAAGTGATGGTGGCATGCATTGCGTGAGCTTGCCATTTCTGTGCTAGGTTTTTGTTTTTCTTTTCTTTCTTTCTTTCTTTTATTTATTTTTTTTTTAGATGTAATTTTGCTTTTGTCACCTAGGCTGGAGTGCAATGGCGCGATCTCACTGCAACCTCCGCCTCTCGGGTTCAAGCAATTCTCCTGCCTCAGCCTCCCAGGTTGCTGGGATTACAGACGTGCACCACCATGCCTGGGCTAATTTTTGTATTTGTAGTAGAAATGGGGTTTCACCATGTTGGTTAGGCTGGTCTTAAACTCCTGACCTCAGGTGATCCACCTGCCTTGACCTCCCAAAATGCTGGGATTACAGGTGTGAGCCACTGCGCCCAGCCTATTTATTTATTTATTTATTTATTGATATATGGTCTGGCTCTGTTGTCCAGTCTGGAGTGCAGTGGCAGAATCTCAGCTAAATGCAACCTCCGCCTCCCAGGTTCAAGCTATCCTCCCACCTCAGCCTCCCAAGTAGCTGGGACTACAGGCACGTGCTACCATGTCCTGCTAATTTTTTTTTTTTTTTTTTTTTTTTTGTATTTTGTATAGAAGGGATTTCACCATGTTACCCAGGCTGGTCTCAAACTCCTTAGCTCAAGCTATCTGCCTACCTCAGCCTCCCACAGTGCAGGGATTACAGGTGTGAGCCACCTCGCCCTGACAGAAGTTGCTTTTTCATTGGCCTGGAGTAGACTATTAGTGCAGTTAGTAAGTCCTGCCCTGATGTGGTCCAATCTTTTCAACTTTTGCTGCTCCGACAATGGATGTGTAGAAGGCCAGCAACTTCTGCTTTAGTTGCTTCATTGACAGCATCGAGACTGCAGCATTTCATGGTAAAATATAGGCAGCTATTTCTTAGAATCAGATGGTGGAAATATTTTGAAATTTCATTCAAGAGATTGCATTACCCAGGTACTGGAGTTTTATGGGATATTTTGCAAGAACAGTATTGAGTTGTTGGTTTCATATTATGAGAGTCTCTCTAAGGGATTCTCTGTAAATTACTTTTGTGTAGAGGTAATATCTACTGAGTGAGGCTACCCCAAAAGACTTCCAATTGGAGAATTAAGATTAGACAAATGAGAAAAAGAATTAAATGAAGACAACTTTTGATGTTATGCCTATTAAAAAAAATTACCTCTTTCATTTTATTGTATTTGTAGAAAAGGAAGATTAGGATTTGTAAATATTTTGCTTTCTAGTTATCTGAAATGGCCAAAACCAGGTAAAATAGGTGTAAATGGCTTACAATTTTTACAGATTTTTATTATAAAGATAAAAATGTTCAGATACCCGAAATAAAAGACAAGATTTCTGAAATCAGGAAGGTGGGGTGAAATATTTTGAAGAAATAATGTTAATCAGCAGGTTAAGAAAGGAAGATGTATATTAACCAGAGATTGTTATATTAAAATATCAAACCTCACTTTCCACTCACATTTTATATTTCTCAAAAAACCCAGGCATTTCCTTTCTGTCCAAACATAATTTTCCCAAATCCACACATAAATTAATGGGATGAAATCAGTACCATCTTGCTATGCTACTTCTTGACATGTTCAGTTCTGCACAGTGCCATGATGGATACATAACACCCTCTGCACTGATTCCACATCCGGGTCTTGTAACTTCACATAATGTATCATTCTTGGGATGTAGGGTTATAGCTCTCTTGGTTTGTGAGGAAGCCACTTCCCAGAGGCAAATTATCTTTCAGTACTTGACTCAGCTCCGTTTCCCATGTCTTCCATTTTCTTTCTTCCATGCCAGTGATGATCTCCTCCGAGATGTGGAGTAATTGTTTTATGTGGCACATATACACTATGGAATACTATGCAGCCATAAAAATTGATGAGTTCATGTGCTTTGTAGGGACATGGATGAAGCTGGAAACCATCATTCTCAGCAAACTATCGCAAGGACAAAAAACCAAACACTGCATGTTCTCACTCATAGGTGGGAATTGAACAATGAGAACACATGGACACAGGAAGGGGAACATCACACACAGGGGCCTGTTGTGGGGTGGGGGGAGAAGGGGGGAGGGATAGCATTAGGAGCTATACCTAATGTTAAATGACGAGTTAATGGGTGCAGCACACCAACATGGCACATGTAAACATATGTAACTAACCTGCACGTTGTGCACATGTACCCTAAAACTTAAAGTATAATAATAAAAAAAAGAAATAAATCTTCAAAACACACCAATTCTTCTCACAACAACTCTTTTTTTTTTTTTTTAAAGAATTGGGTCCCTTAACTTAACACCTACCTTCGTAAGACAGACAACATTCTATGTTTCCAAAGTGCATTAGTGTCCCCACATGTACTCTGATGTTTCTGGTTCATTTATTGATTTAGAAAAAAGGTAGCCCCGTGGAAAGGCACAAATCGAAAGCAGTTTAAACATTTTACATTGCTTTTCATTTTAAAATTCAAGAGGTGCTTCAAAAGTTTATCTCTTAAGTACGTCGCTTTTTAACAAGGAAAGGTTAGCAACTGTAAAAATATTGTCAAGAAATGTGGAAACAACTTTATCTCCTTGTTATGAGTATTGTGAGTTAGAATATTGTCATGGAATATGTTCCTAGAGAATGAAGAAGTTTCTACATTTTAAAAAACCCTGTTAATTATATAGTTTGAATATATCAATCTAGAAGCAGTGCTTCAGTTCAAAAGAAGTTGTCTGTGGCAAAACTTGGAAATAATTAATCTTGAATCTCATTACTGCATCGTCTTTACTTCAGAGACCTCTTCATTCTCCATTCCTGAACCATGTCATCCTATATATATATATATATATATATATATATATATATATATATACACACACACATATATATATACGTGTATATATATATATACACGTATATATATATATACGTGTATATATATATACACGTATATATATATATACGTATATATATATATATATACACGTATATATATATATATACACACACACACACGCACACAAAAGGGCTTACCGTGTGTTTTATTCTCCATTTATGCTCTCTGTCTCTGAGTGTATTTGCTCGAAACTGTTCCTAAAGAAGTTTTCAAGTGCTACAATTATAAGTTAGTTGCTACAATTATAAGTTAGTTAATAATAAACCTCTGAGATATAATGGAATTACTATAAAATAGAGGAAAGGTGTGAGAGGTAGATTTTTGGACTGGGCAAAACGTATTGCTTAGCACACTTTCTGTAGTATGGAATAGTTTAACTCTTGTGAATAAGAAAAGCTCTAATTTCTAAACGTTTACAACCCTACATAGGTAAGGATGTCAATTCTATCTGGTAAGTTAAAAATGTTTGTTAAAGATGTTTCAATTTAAGTAGAGCTACTTACCTTGTGATGAAACTGCTAACATGTTATTAGTTTATTAGCATTCCCATGACAATGAAAATAGATTTGGGCCAGAAGTTCATTCAAGTGAGAAACCTTAAATTCTAAATACACATAGGTATTAATAGGGCTTAAATTCATGAAGTAATAGCCATTTATATAGTTTGATCTATAAACATACGTGGCACATTTTTAATGCCAAAGATATTCAATGACTTCAAATTAGTCACTGTTATCCTCACCATAAGTGTTAAGAATGAAGACTGTGTGTATAGAGCCCACCCTTACATATAGCAGTGAAAAAGATCTGCTCAATCATCAAAGTAGAAAACTAAAAAAAAGGTAGCTTTTAAATTACCTTTATATTTTATGTGAAGTACATTTTCATTAAAATGTTATTAAATCACCATTTCACATTATTAAAAATAAACTTAAATTTCATAAGACTAATTTTGTTATATGTCTTAAATTCTGATCTTGAGAAAGTCTGAATAGCATTAAGAGTTGCACTAAACATGTGCTCTGTGAAAGACCTACAGGAGCTTGAGGGGTACCTAAGACTGAATTTTCCACCATTTCAAAGGGATGACGCCGCAGAATCAGATTTTGATTTAATAAAAATAAAATACTATGATAACTTCTACATATATAAATGTTTTAAATAAATTTTAAATTCCTATTTGAATATCTTTTGATCTATTTGGATATTGAAATATATAGATAAATTGGATTTTAGGTATCTATACCAGGGGTGTCCAATCTTTTGACTTCCCTGGGCCACAATGGAAGAAGAATTGTCTTGGGACACACATAAAATACACTAACACTAATATTAACCATAGTTGATGAGCTGACTAAAAAACAATTTGCAAAAAAATTTCATAATGTCTTAAGAAGTTTATGAATTTGTCTTGGGCTGCATTCAAAGCTGTCCTGAGCCACATGCGGCCTGTGGGTCACAGGTTGGACAAGCTTGATCTACATCAATATAAATATAAATGAGATATAGATAATTGTTAGTTCTATATACTTGAATATCTTTTGAGGGGTCAGTATTTAAGTTAAAGGAATGGCATGTGGGCAGTACAACTTTTAATATCACTGTATAGAGCACACTTGACGTAACTAACTCCATCTTAGAAAAAGACTCCATTTGATATTTCATAGGGCACTTTGTCAGCAAGAATAAGGTGTTTCATTTAATAAATAACAACAACAAAAAATAAAGACTGCATCCAACCAGATAAGGACACAAACAAGCACACTCTTCCATTATCAGTTCTCACCAGAGGACTCTGTGATTATAAAAGATTAGACCTCCAGCAGCTTAAAATGGCCATCTTAACTGACACCATTTTGCATTCACTCGTGATAAGAACTTGGCATCTGCCACTGAAGGCTCTGCCACCTCAAAGACTCTTCCTTGCAAGGCTTGATGGACTACCAGGCCCAGACCAAGAATCCTTCCTTTTGTCTTCTTTGCTTCCCCTGGACCGGTTTGTTACCCTTTCTTCTATCTTTTTTTCTCTTGATGTGAAATGTTACTTTGTGTGTTGTGGCATGCTTAACTTGTAGAATTTATATATTGATTATATATACTATTATGTATGGTTTGCAATATTGACTGACTTGTGGAGTGGCTTGGGCCTGTGTGCCTGCAGCTCTGACTATCGAGTGGATGGGAAGTACTAAGTTGAATTACCTCCTTGGGAACTCCATGTAGCTAGTAGCTTTTGTGATTAAAATAGCATCAGGAAAAGCCTGACATTGTGGAAAGATACAAGCATGTATGGACCTGGTTATTTCTAACTTTGCTCTGCTCATGACAATCACCTGTTATGCATTCAGTAGGCCACATTAAAGTCCCTAAAATTATAAATCTTAAGTAGTTGTTGATTGCCTGTAGGCTTTTGCCTATTTAATTTTGTGATAGTATTTCCCTCTCACCCCAGCTGGCTCAAAGAATATGACTAATATGTCAAATTTCTCTGCCTAAGAATAACCTTTCCTCTGGTTCATGTGAGACAAGGGGCCCAAAGGGCCTGAGCTCACGGGGAACAAGTCGAGGAACAAACCTATGACTCAATGTCACTAGTTTTCATGTTACTTTCCCTAGTTTTACACCCCTTTTATTGTTATCACTTACAGATCCTATAAACTGTGAGTTAAAAAGTATTTTAAAAAAATCTATGTCAGGGGATAATTTGACACCTCATGTATGATTTCTCCTCTGTAGTCAAACTATCCCTGACTTGGATTTTTTTTCTCTTTTATTTAAGTTAAATTAGAACAAAGATTTTGGCCAATTTTTTGAAAGTGAAATCTTAACATGGTGGAAACTACACTAAGCAAAAAATTCTTAATCTGTTATTCAGCCCCAGCTCTGGTATGTGCTAAATGTATGATCCTGGAGAAATTGGCTTTCTAGAGTCAGCTTCCAAATATATAAACTGCTATACAAAGGTAAGTTATTCTCATTATCTCTTATTCCTATCTACTTTCAAATGTAAATGAATTCCAACTATAGTAGGGTCTTGAGTCCTGAATATAGATTCTAACAGACTTAAGATTTGGGGCATAATCTTAACTGATTAAAAAAAAATATTTTTAAAAGTCTAATATTTATTTTAATTCATTTTGCAGTTTAATTAACATCTATGGCGTTTTCACGTCCAGTTTTGCTTATAGATACTGCCAACAGTGTTTCCTTATCCATAGAAAATATCGTGTTGATATTTTTGGAAAAAAAGGAATGAGATCCCTAAAATTTCTTTGAGGAGTTAATGGAACAGCTATCTCACAGTGCAACTATGTCCGACGAATAAAAACAGTTTGTTAATCTAAAAAGATATTTATTATCTCTCCTAAAAATGGATGAACAACTGGTTTGTAACTACCAGTGAAAACCAAACTTGGACCATTTCAATTGAAATGATTTTTTATGCATGAATGTAAGTAATGTAAAAATTGATTTTTGTACAATTGAGATATTAAATGTTATTAAGTATCACTAACATTGTCAAATTGTAGAAGTTAAAAACTGATGGTAAGCAGTGACATAAAATATTGTTGGTCCAAAATTATATAAGATCCACCATAGAAATGAAAAGGACGATTATAAGCTAGTGACTAATATCATAAAATCATTTTGTACAAGGTATGAAATTATTTAAAACATCACTTCCATTTTATTGGGTAAAGGAAATCATAATGCTGAAGTTTATGGGTGCATTTGAATTTGAATTATTGCTACTCTATATAACTGTTCCTGCCATTTCTGCCTAAAAACATCTAATGTGGTAATCTTCATGTACAAAAATTTATGTCAAAATCATAGAAAATAGTGCAAGGAGAGTCCGTTTTGACAGTCTGGTATTGTTCAGTAGTCTATGCACTTTCTCAGCAGTCAATTGCTTCTCTAAATACTTTTAAATTTATCTTTAATATGTACCGCCATAACATGGGGACACTATTATTATTTTTTAATTAGTGAAGCATAATTTTTATATTGAGAACTACACATATCTAAATACAGCTCAACAAATCTTCAAAAACTGGTGAACTGAGCACCATATCAAGAAACAGATCGTCATTCACACATCAGAAGAATTCTTGTGATCTCTTTCAGCTACTATAGCTACTACCTAATCCAAATAAGGGTAACAAATCTGAGGACTTATTAACATCTAGGTTAGTTTTGACTATTTTGTACTTTATATAACCAAAATCATATATTGTGCACTTCTTAATGACTGACTTCTTTCATCAATAATATCCTTGGGCACAACATATAGTTGTGTTTAGCTGTAAATCATATCACTTATTTATAGTAGTCAACTGTATAAATAAATCACATTTTACTTGTTGATTCTACTGTTGGGTGTTTCGTTAGTTTCCAGTTTGGGACTATTATAAATAGGTCTACTTAAAATATTTTAAAAATAACATTTGGTGAATATATGGAAACTTTCCTTTTGGGTGCATAAACCATATGAAATTGCTGCTTGTAAGTCGCAAACAATTGGAAATTAGCAGTTTCATAGGATTTAATCTAATGTACAGTATTAGACAGTTGGGCTACATTGTACACATATTTTTTGTTGAGTAGATACTGCAAAAGAGTTTGCTAAAATTGCTGTATCAGTTTATCCACCTGCCAACAGTTTATTATTGTTGGGCTTTGCCACAATCTTTCAAATTTGGTATATATTCCTTTGTAAAAAATTTTAATTATTCTGACAGATTTGTAATTACATATCATTATAGCTTAAATTTTATTTCACTAATAAAATTAAGGCCCTTTTTTATAAAATTGACAATTTGGATATCTTTTTTGTAAAATATGTTAAGTTCTTTGTCAAATTTTTTTTAGTTTTCTCCTTTTCATTTGAATTTGAATTTCTGGTGGGTGCGTGTGTGTGTGTGTGTGTTTGTGTGTGTATGTATTCTTAATCCAATGAGTGCCTTGTCAGATATATGCATTAGGAATGTCTTCTACAACCGTATTGGTTACTTTTTCCGTTGCTGAATGGTATTTTCTGCTGAACAGAATTGCCTACATTTAATATAGTCTGATTTGTCAATTACTTTTGTTTTATATTTAGTCTTAATGGGCCTGATTTAAGAAACCTTTGCCTATTCAAAAGTATCCAAGATGTTCTATTTATTCTTCCAATAGCTCTAGTTTCATGTCTTTCACATTTAGATTTTGATTCATGTGCAATAAATTTTTTAGTATGAAGCAATGTGGGGGCCAATATACATTTTTCCTTATGGGTATCTACAATCCTTTATTGAAAAGTTAATACTTTTCCTGCTGAATTGCAGTTTTGTCTTTGTCATAAGTCTGATTATATACATATCCACATTTGTTTCCAGACTACCAGCAACATTCTTTTAAATGTCATAAATGATAGCAAGACTTCATTCATGGGGGTAGACTTGGGGTTTGTAAAAAGTCAAACTTTATTTGAACCTGTGTCTAGGAATGCTACCTATGAGCAAACTGGACAAAAATTAAAAATGAGAAAATATTTAAATTGCCAGATTAATTTCTTGTGTGGCATATAAACTTCTCAAGTCATTTTCAACTGAAGAGTTTCAAAAATAGTCAAGCAGTGATGGGCACTTCGGGGGTTGTGTGGTGCAAGGGGAGGGAGAGCATTAGGACAAATACCTAATGCATACGAGGCTTAAAAGCTAGATGATGGGTTGATGGGTGCAGCAAACCACCATGGCACATGTATACCTATGTAACAAACCTGCACATTCTGCACATGTATCCTAGACCTTAAAGTATAATTAAAAAAAATAGTCAAGCAGTATAACTGTCACTGAACTAGCATGCAAAAATAACACTACTAAAAACACTAGATGTTTGTTCAGATAACTCTGTATTTTGTATCTCTATCTTCCAAACAACACTAAAGAATCTTTGATCACTGTCCTTTTTACATTTTTAGTAATTTAAACAATACATAAACAAATAAACGTGACATTTTTTAAAACAGTTTCAAAGCGATCATATAAACAGATAATTCTGCATTCATTGATGTATTTCCAAATATTGCCATATATATTGGCTGATTTAAGCCTTGGAGACTTCTTACTATAAAATGTGTGTAATTTACTTATGTATTTTATTTAACTCAAACTTGACTAGATTTTACTTAATATTTTCTTTCCTATTAGCTTCTTTCTCTCTCTTCAACTTTTATTTTTATTTCCACATTCTCATCTGAAGCTCTATCTGGTTGCCATCAGCAGCAGTAAATAAAAATTTAGATTGGCTTAACCTCAGAGTTAACTTTTAAAAATATTTGAGGTTTTTAGAATCTTATGTTTTGTGAAAATTATAGGAAAATAGCTGGTTAAAATGTTAGACTACATCATCAAGTATAAGAGGGAGAAACAAGAAAATAAGCAGGATATATTTCATGTTTTTAAAATTTGTGTTGAAGACCTGAGTTGCAAGTTGCATGAAAAGTTTCCCTGTTTTTCCCTACTCTCTGACTTTCAAAACCTTTTCTACATTTCTTGAAAGTCTCAACAAATCTTATTTTTGAACTGAGATATTGAAAACAATTATTTACAAATATAAGTTATTAGACAGACAAATATATTTATATCCATTTATTTACCAGATTCCAACTTTCTTAATTCTATAGAAGGGTCTAGAACACTCAGCGGGTTCAACAAGGAAAATGTCCATACATAATAAAGAGGAATATTTATGAGAATGAGACAGCATGTGGTCATGATGGGGCCCTTCAGTGAAGAACCTGGCTGGGTTGGAGGAGAAAGTGTAGTTTGAGGACCCTGAAGAGTTGATGAGTGTGGCAACAAAAGAAAAGAAGACACTCAGACAGGCAAAAGAAAATGCTTGCTACATGTACATCTCTTTTTCCACTTGGCTTAAATTCTGTTCTGCCTCCTAGAGGGGTGGAGAGCTTCCTTATATACTTGGGGAGGCAAAAAGAGGTCATTTGTCTCTCCTTCAGGTATGAAGGATCCTTCTGTATTTGGTACAGATGGGAACACAGAAGTGATCACAGTGCTTGTTTGACACTCTGTGGTGATTTTCAACAGCTTTATATAAAGAATAAAACCCAATAGAGTTACAGTATAACATCAAGAACTTTTTTTTCTTTGCATAAGCTGCACTAAATACTTATGCTCAACAGAAAACACCATTAAACAATTGAAAAGCAACTTATACAACTGGAGAAGACATCTTTAATACATATTTCTGACAAAGCTCTTAGTGTATTTGGAATGCACATGTAAGTGTCCTCAGCTGTTAATATGCAACATGAGTGAAAAGTAAATATTTGTTGTTGAAAGTCAATGAAATTATAAAGTTGTTCCTTAGTTACCATGAGAAATGGTGGGCTATGGATACATCCAGAAAGAATCCTATTGAAAATTAGCTTTATTCATTATTTCAGTACTTTCTCTCATACCAAAGATGGAGAGCATAATTCCACCTTCCAACCCCAAAGTGAAAAAAGTCTCTTTTCTTCAAACCAGCCACTCTCACATCTAGTCTTAACTTGCAGAGTCACTGGAAGTGGTCCACAGGCTCCAAAATGAGATGAACATTAATAGTTCTCTGAACATACTGAGATCGAAGAGTAAAGTAGGTCACTTGAAACTGAATGTCTTTATAACTATTTGCGTCACTTCAATGGCTATAATATTCTACAGAAGTCATGAGTGTTTAATTTAAAAAATATATAATACTTTATTTTTTACAACAGTTTCAGATTTACAGAAAAATTGAGCAGATGGTACAGATGGTTCCTATACACCACTGTGTAGTTTCCTCTATTATTCCTCTACTATTAATATTATACTTTTGTTGTAACGAATGCACTGATATTGATACATTTTTATTAACCAAGGCTTATGCTTTCTCAGATTACCTTAGTTTTTGTGATAAAATTATCCCTGTGGCTGGGTAATTTGTAAAGAAAGGAGGTTCATTTGGCTCACAGATCTGCTAACTGAAAGATTGGACATCTGGTGAAAGCCTCACGCTTACTTCCCCTCATGGTGCAAGGCAAAAAGGAACTGGCATGTGCAGAGATCACCTGGTGAGACAGGAATCCCAAGAGAGAGGGAGGGAAGAGATGCCAGGCTGTTTTTAACAATCAGCTCTCTCAGGAACTAAAATAATCCTAGAAGAGTGGGAACTCACTCGTTACCATGAGGATGGCACCAAGGCATTTGTAAGAGATCTGCTGCCATGACCCACATACTTCTCATCGGGCCCCACCTCTAATGCTGGGGATCAAATTTTAACATGTGGCTTGGTGGGACAAAAATTCAAACTATAGCATCAACTATTGTCCTTTTTTCTGTTCCGGAAATTCCTCTATAATAGATACCACATTATATTTAGTAGGCATGTCTCCTTAGCCTCTTCTTTACTGTGACAGTTTTGTTGACTTCCCTTGTTTTAGATGAAGCTTGATGTTTTTGAGGAACAATGGTCAGAAGTATTGCAATATGACTTTTAAAATTTTTCGAATATTTTTCTCCTAAATATACCAGGGTTATGAGTTTTGGGGAAGAAGGTCACACATGTAAACTGCCACTCTCATAAAATCATATTAAGTATATGCCCTAAGATGATTTATGACTATTGATGTTGACATTGATTATCTGGCTAAAGTAGTGTTTATCAAGTTTTTCTACTGTAGACTTAATATTTTTACCCTTTTTATACTGTACTCTTTGGAGGGAAGACATTATGCGCAGCACACACTTAAGGAGCAAGGATTTAAGCTCCACCTTTTTAGGGTGAAGTGTCTACATAGTTTATTTGAAATTCTTCTGCATGGGCTGTCTCCGTTTTCCCATTTATTAGTTTATTCAATCATGTATTTATATAAGTATAGACATATATTATCTATATAAATATCTCATGGATATCTATTTTATACTTTGGGCTATGATCCAATACATAATCCTTACTTATATTCTTGCTTAAATGGTTCCAGCTTTGGCCATTGGGAGCTCTTTCAGTTGGCTTCTGTGTCTTTTTGAAATATCCTGTTATTATGTTTTCTAGAGTTTAAAAAACATTGCTTACGTTGTTGTTGTTTCTGTTTGTTTGCTTTTAGAATTCCTTACTTTCTGGCACTATAAGATGCTTCAGGTTCATCTTGCAGATTTTTTGATCTCCCTCTCCAGCCTTAGAATCAGTATTTCTTCAAGGAGACTTGGCTCCATGTAATAGCATCAAACATCAAAGTCTGAGTGATAGATGCACTCATTGCTACTGGGGTCTCATTTATTTTAGACCTCTCATCTGTCAGAGCAAAGAAATATATGTGTGAATACTAACCATTTGTATACACATTTTAATAAATATTTATCTACACAACCAACTTGATTTATATTGTTACATAAGAGTTTTTAATATTGTCAAAAGCTGTAATTCATTACAGTATTGATCAATTAAATTTCTCTTCTTGCTTATCTGTAGATCCCCACTTCAACAGTGAGAAGCCTGGTTTCCATCAATTGTCATGTATTTACTTAATTTTTCAATTCCTGTTTCTGTGTACACTGTTATCAGAATTCTTAATCCTTTCCCTAGTGGTAAAGAATGTTACCAACTAGAGTACAGAAATACGTGTAGTTATTTTGCTTTTAGTCTTTTAAAATAAATTTAATTTTTAATTTTTATGGGTACATAATAATTGTATTTATTTATGGGGTAAATGTGATGTTTTGATACAGGCATACGATGTGTAATGATCAAATCAGAATAATTAAAGTATCCATTACCTCAAACGCTTATAATTTCTTTCTGTTAGTAACATTCAAATTCCATTCATTTCATTATTTAAAAATACATAAGATTTTACCCATACCCTATTCCAGATAGAGTCGCCCTGGTTTCAACACCTCTGACAAAACTAAGATATGTGCTCTGAGAAATCACTCCTGCTTGCTGCTTGGCACCTAGAGAAGGCACCTAGACCTGCATCCACCAACACTCCCCACCCAGTAAGACCATGCACACAGTCACCAGCAGGGACCCCTGCCAACTGTGTTGCCTCCACCATTGTGGTGAACACCCACAGGGAGGCCAGCACTGTGGCACCTGCTAGCACTCTGCCACAACTGCCATATCTCAGGCACCACCAAGGCAGTGGATTCCTAATCTTAAGAAGCCAGAGAACAAAGTCATGCCCAATACAAGTCCCCCAGAGTTAGAGCATACAGTCCAGGAGTTGGGAGTTCAGTGCTGGCCACCTAAAATCTTCTAGAAACAAAGCAAATTGGCTGAATCCACCTTATAACAGAAGCAAACCCTCAAGTTCATCAAATGAGATTAAAAAAATTCATCCAAAAGTCAGAAACCTCAATGATCGAAGGTAGATAAGCCCACAAAGTTGAGAAAAAATCAGCACA
Source organism: Homo sapiens (assembly GCF_000001405.40). Lineage (NCBI taxonomy): Eukaryota > Metazoa > Chordata > Mammalia > Primates > Hominidae > Homo > Homo sapiens. Next base: position 48,356,179 of record NC_000006.12, read on the forward strand.
AGAACCCTGAAAACTAAAAAAGCCAGAGTGTCTTTTTTTTTCTCCAAATGAGAGCATCACCTCTTCAGGAAGGGTTCTGAACCAGACTGACATGGCTAACATGAAAGAAATAGAATTCAGAATATAGATAGGAACAAAGATCATCGAGGTACAGGAGTGCATTGAAACTCAATCCATGGAAGCTAAAAATCATGATAAAACAGTGCAGGAGCTGACAAACAAAATAACCAGGGTAGAAAAGAATATAACCACTCTGATAGACCAGAAAAACACACTACAAGAATTTCATAATACAATCATAAATATTAACAGCAGAATAGACCAAGTTGAAGAAAGAATATTAGAGCTTGGAGACTGGCTTTCTGAAATAAGACAGTTGGGAAATAATAGAGAAAAAAGAATAAAAAGCAATGAACAAAGCCTCTGGGAAATATGGGATTATGTAAGAAGACAAAATCTATGGCTCGTTGATGTCCCTGAAAGAGATAGGGAGAATGGAACCAACTTGAAAAACATATTTCAGAATATCATTCATTAGAATTTCCCCAACCTAGCTAGAGGCCAGCATTCAAGTTCAGGAAATGCAGAGAACCTCAGTAAGATAGTCCACAAAAAGATCATCCCAAAGACACATAATCATCAGAATCTCCAAGGTCAAAATGAAAAAAAAAAATTGTTAAAGGCAGCTAGAGAGAAAAGACTAACAGCAGACATCTCCTTAGAAACCCTACAAGGCAGAAGAGATAGGGGGACAATATTCAGCATTCTTAAAGGAAAGAAATTCCAGCATAGAATGTCATATCTAGCCAAACTAGGCTTCATAAGCAAAGGAGAAATAAGATCCTTTTCAGACAAGTAAATGCTGAGGGAATTTGTTACCACCAGACTTGCCTTATGAGAGTTCCTGAAGGAAGCACTAAATATGGGAAGAAAAGACTACTACCAGTTCCTAAAAAAACACACCTAAGTACACAGACAAGCGACCACTGTAAAACAACCACATAAAGAAGTCAGCAAAATAACCATGTAAACATCATTATGACAAGATCAAATCCACACATATCAATACTAACCTTATATGTAAATGGGCTAAATACCCCACTTAAAAGACACAGAGTGACAACCTGGATAAAGAAACAAGACCCTTTGGTATACTGTCTTCAAGAGACCCATTTCACACCCATAGGCAAAAAACAAACAAACAAAAAATCAAAAACAAAAACAAAAACAAAAAAAAACAAGGGATGGAGAAAAATCTACCAAGCAAATGGAAAACAGAAAAACAGCCGGGGTTGTAATCCTAGTTTCTGACAAAACAGACTTTTAACCAACAAGGATCAAAAAAGATAAAGAAGGGCATAACAGAGTGGTAAAGAGTTCAATTCAACAAGTAGATGTAACTACCCAAAATATATATGCACCCAAAACAGGAGCACCCAGATTGATAAAACAAGTTCTTAGAGACCTTCAAAGGGACTTAGACTTCTTCACAATAATAGTGGGAGATTTTAACATCCCACTGACAATATCAGACAGGTCATCAAGATAGAAAATTAATGAAGATCTTCAGAACCAGAAGTTAGCACTGGATCAAATGAACATGATAGATATCTACAGGACTCTCCACCCAAAACCAACAGAAGATATATTCTTTTCATTGCCATATGGCATATAGTCTGAAATTGATCACATACTTAGAAGTAAAACCTTCCTTAGCAAATGCAAAAGAACTGAAATCATAACAAACAATCTCTCGAACCACAGCACAATCAAATTAGAAATCAAGACTAAGAAATACATTCAAAACCATACAATTACCTGAAAATTGAATAACCTGCTCCTAAATGACCTTAGAATAAATACTGAAATTAAGGAGGAAATCAAGAAGTTCTCCAAAACTAATGAGAACAAAGATAAAACACACCAGAATCTCTGCGACACAGCTAAGGCACTGTTAAGAAGGAAATTTATAGCACTAAATATTCACAGTAAAAACTTAGAAAGATGTCAAGTTAACCTAACATCACAACTAAAAGAAGTAGAGAACCAAGAGCAAACAAATTCCAAAGCTAGAAGGCAAGAAATAACCAAAATCAGAGCTGAACTGAAGGAGATTGAGACACACACACACACACACACACACACACACACACACACACACGACATTCAAAAGATCAACAAATTCAGGAGCTGGTTTGTTGAAAGAAATTAATAAAATAGATAGACCATTAGTTAGACTAATAAAGAAGAAAATGGAATATTCAAACAAATACCATCAGAAATGACAGGGAATATTACCACTGACCAGTCAGAAATACAAACAACCATCAGAAAATATTATGACAACTCTATGCACATAAACTAGAAAATCTAGAAGAAATGGTTACATTCCTGGACACATACACGCTCCTAAGACTGAACCAGGAAGATATTGAATCCCTGAACAGCCCAATAACGAGCTCTGAAATTGAGTCAGCAATAAATAGCTTACCAGCCAAAATAAGCCCAGGACCAAATGGATTCATAGCTGATTTCTACCAGATGTACAAAGAAGAGCTGGTATCATTCTTGTTGAAACTATTTCAAAATCCTGAGTAGGGATGCCTCCCTAACTCATTCTAGGAGGCCAGCATTATCCTGATACCAAAACCTGGCAGAGACACAACAAAAGAAGAAAACTTCACATCAATGTTTTTGATGAACATTGATGCAAAAATCCTCAACAAAATACTGGCAAAGTAAATCCAGCAACACATCAAAAAGCTTATCCACCACAATCAAGTAGGTTTTATCTTTGAGATACAAGATTAGTTCAACATAAACAAATCAATAAACTTGATTCCTCATGTGAACAGAACTATAGACAAAAGTCACATGATTATCTCAACAGATGCAGAAAAGACTTTTGATAAAATTAAACACCGCTTCATGTTAAAAAAACTCTCAACAAAATAGGTACTGAAGGAACATCCCTCAAAATAATAAGAGCCATCTATGAGAAAACCACAGCCAGCATCATACTGAATTGGCAAAAGCTGGAAGCATTCTACTTGAAAGTCAGCACAAAACAAGGAAGCCCTCTTTCACCACTTTTATTCAACATAGTATTGGAAGTACTGCCTAGGGTAATCAGACAAGAGAAACAAATAAAGGAGATGCATATAGGAAAAGAGAAAGTCAAATTATCTCTGTGTGCAGATGACATGATTAGATATCTGGAAAATCCCATAGTATCAGCCCAAAAGCTCCTTAAACTGATAAACAATTTCAGCAAAGTCTTAGGATACAAAATTAATGTGTGAAAGTCACCAGCATTCCTATACACCAACAACAGTCAAGCTGAGAGCCAAATCAGGAACACAATCCCATTTACAATTGACACAAGAAAGAATAAAATACCTAGGAAAGCAGCTAATCTGGGGCATGAAAGATTTCTACAAGCTGAACTACAAAACACTCCTCAAAGAAATCAGAGATGACACAAACAAACAGAAAAACTTCCATGCTCATGCCTACAAAAAGTCAATATTGCTAAAATGGCCATACTACACAAAACAATTTGTAGATTCAGTTCTTTTTCTATTAAACTACCATTGACATTCTTCACAGAACTAGAGAAAATTTAATAATCATATGGAACCAAAAACGAAATAGCCAAGGCAATCCTACACAAAGAGAAAAAAGCTGAAGGCATCACACTACCTCCCTTAAACTATACTACAGGGCTACAGTAACCAAAACAGCATGATACTGGTACAAAAAAAGACACACAGACCAAGGAACAGAATAGAGAACCCAGAAATAAGATTGCACACCTACAACTATCTGATCTTTAATAAACCTGACAAAAACAAGCAATGAGGAAACGATATCCTATTAAATAAATGGAGCTAGAATAACTGACTAGATATGTGCAGAAGATTGAAACTGGACCCCTTCCTTACACCATATACAAAAATTAACTTAAAATGGATTAAAGACTTAAATGTAGAACCCAAAACCGTAAAACCCAAATCCATAAAACCCCTAGAAGATAATCTAGGCAATACCACTCAGGACATAGGAACAGGCAAAGATTTCATGATGAAGATGCCAAAAGCAATTCTAACAAAACCAAAAACTGACAATGGAACCTAATTAAACCAAAGAGCTTCTACACAGCAAAGGAAACTATCAACAGAGTGAACAGACAATGTACAGAATGGGAGAAAATATTTGCAAACTCTGCATCTGACAAAGGTCTGATATACAGTATCTATAGGGAACGTAAACAAATTTACTAGAAACAAACCCCATGAAAAAGTGGGCAAAGGACATGAACACATACTTTTAAAGAAGACATAGAGGTGGCCAAGAAGCATATGAAAAAAAGCTCAGCATCACTGATCATTGGAGAAATACATACCAAAACCACAATGAGATACCATCTCACACCAGTCACAATGGCTATTACTAAAAAGTCAAAAAATGGCAGATGCTGCTGAGGTTGCAGAGAAAAAGGAACACTGCTAACACAAGAGTATAAAACCAAACACTGCACTTTCTCACTTATAAGTGGGAGCTGAACAATGAGAACACATGGACACAGGGAGAGGAACACTGTCGGTGGGTGGGGGAAGGGAGAACATCAGGATCAATAGCTAATGCATGTGGGTCTTAATACCTAGGTGATGGGTTGATAGGTGCAGCAAATCATCACGACAGACATTTACTTATGTAACAAACGTGCACATCCTGCATGTGTATCCTGGAACTTAATATAAAATAAAATATTTTTTTAAAAAGAAACACTTATACACTGTTGGTGGGAGTGTAGATAATTTGACAAAATTCAGCCTGTTTTTTACTTTGTAAAATATAAATAGATGTTAAAAAATAAAATGTTTAATAATATATTCTTCAATGTAATTATTTAAGGTCTATATAAAAACAGCTGGTAGAAAATATTCTAAAAAATCTAAAGAAAAAATATTTTAGTTAAACTTAGGAGATAAACAAGTATGCTAACAAACAATATTGTTGTCAACATTGTCTTGGAGATTCCAGTGAGTACACTAAGGTAAAACATGGAATTACTATCACAAACATTGACTGCAAATAGTTAACCATCTTTGGAATGACCTTAGATGGTATATGCAGAAAACACAATAGAATCTGTCAAACACATCCTTTTTAAAATCTACCTACTTACCTACATCTTTATGAATAAGCATTTTATAATGGAAATTTGAAAAAATTTTAATCAGAATATGGACAACTATAAAATACTTAAAATTAAATTAAATAATAAAGTCATAATAATTATATATAAAAAATAAAAAAATTCTTTTAGAGAATCAAGAACAATGAATAAGTTAACTGACCAACTTAAAAACAAGCCCCAAGCACCAAGACCTGCCTTCTAAGAGCAGATTCTATTATTATAAAATTATAAATACACCAAGGCTTCCAAGGCTTAACATTATTTTTTTGACTTCCACATTGATCCACAAATTGTTTTTTTCTTACTATAAAAATACATTAAGTGTATACAGAGGAATAATTGTCCAAGAAAAGCCCAAATATATATAAAAAATGACGACTAAGAATAAACTTGTTTGCCTGGCATAAAAACAAATTATAAAGCTTTAAGAATCAAATTGATATTTTATCAACCCTACAATAGAGGAAATTTTCTTTAAATAGAGATTACCAGAATAGATTATAATGTATATAAGACAGTAATCTGTATCTCTAAGAATTGTATTTTAATTTAGTCAGAAAAAATATATTATGATGACACAACTGGCTATGTGTACAGAAAAAATTGATCTCAGATCCTGTATCTGTTAGAAATGCTTTTGTCCATAAATAACAGGACAAAAGTCATGCATAGGTGTTGACCTTTCTCACTTTGCAAAAAGTTTACAAGTTGATAGTCTAGGCTGAGGCAGATGCTCTAGAATGTTGTAAGCAATGGGTTTCCTTCTGGCTTTCCACCTCCAGGTTTGCTGAGGAAATTTACGTGACTACCACAATGGTTGCAAAATGGCTCCTGAAACTCTAGTCATCCAGGGAAGATATAAAGGAAAGGTACAAAAAGAAAAAGGACTTTCCGCTAGCTATGTTTTGCCATATTTTATTAAAAAACTGTGACTCTCTAATTCTTTGATTAGAACTTTATTTTTTGGGCTGTGAGGAAAATTGCTGAAAGATAATATATTGAGCTTTCCAGCCATTATTGTAAAAACTGGCCTGAAAAAAAGTGGTTGAGCAAGGAAGTTGAATAAGAAGGTTTTCAGATTCCTAAATTACCATTAACGTATCTCATGCACAAAAAATACATATTCTAGATACATTAAATACTTAACTATATACTATAGAAACCTACAAGCACTCTCTAAAGAGACTATATGAGCCATCTTGGTAAGAAGGAAACATTCTAAACCAAATTCTAAAACTAGAGGCTAAGAAAGAAAATAGAATTTTACCAGTGTCTATAATAAATGAAATATTTTATTTGGCAAAAATAATGTTAAGTTGATAAAAATACTATTTTGGAAAAATTGTAACGAAATTAGTGGTCAAAAGTCTAATATTCAAAATGTTCTCAAAAAAGCACTCTTACATGTTGACAAGAAAATAAATGAAGGAACCAGAGGATAAATGAGAAAGAAACATGTTCAATTTTTTTAAAGGTAAGCACTAAGCTAATTTTCTTTATTCATCTCTTGATGAAATGATCTTAATAAAATTTGTCATACTGCTTATATTTGATCACCTCTAACTCTGAATTCCATTGGCACAATATGGTTTCCACCCCACTACTTAAATTGCCCCTTCAAAGGTAACCAAAAGCCTCCTTGAGGCTTAATCCAATGCATACTTCAATAATTTGTCTTCTTCTTCACTTCGTTAAACATTATTAATCTTGGGGGAGGAGCCAAGATGGCCGAATAGGAACAGCTCCGGTCTACAGCTCCCAGCGTGAGCGACGCAGAAGACGGGTGATTTCTGCGTTTCCATCTGAGGTACCGGGTTTATCTCACTAGGGAGTGCCAGACAGTGGGCATAGGCCAGTGGGTGCGCGTACCGTGTGCAAGCCGAAGCAGGGCGAGGCATTGCCTCACTTGGGAAGCGCAAGGGGCCAGGGAGTTCCCTTTCCGAGTCAAAGAAAGGGGTGACGGACGCACCTGGAAAATCGGGTCACTCCCATCCGAATATTGCGCTTTTCAGACCGGCTTAAAAAACGGTGAACCACGAGATTATATCCCACACCTGGCTCGGAGGGTCCTACGCCCACAGAATCTCGCTGACTGCTAGCACAGCAGTCTGAGATCAAACTACAAGGCGGCAGCCAGGCTGGGGGAAGGGCGCCCGCCATTGCCCAGGCTTGCTTAGGTAAACAAAGCAGACAGGAAGCTCGAACTCAGTGGAGCCCACCACAGCTCAAGGAGGCCTGCCTGCCTCTGTAGGCTCCACCTCTGGGGGCAGGGCACAGACAAACAAAAAGACAGCAGTAACCTCTGCAGACTTAAGTGTCCCTGTCTGACAGCTTTGAAGAGAGCAGTGGTTCTCCCAGCACGCAGCTGGAGATCTGAGAATGGGCAGACTGCCTCCTCAAGTGGGTCCCTGACCCCTGACCCCCGAGCAGCCTAACTGGGAGGCACCCCCCAGCAGGGGCACACTGACACCTCACACGGCAGGGTACTCCAGCAGATCTGCAGCTGAGGGTCCTCTCTGTTAGAAGGAAAACTAACAAACAGAAAGGACACCCACACCAAAAACCCATCTGTACATCACCATCATCAAAGACCAAAAGTAGATAAAACCACAAAGATGGGGAAAAAACGGAACAGAAAAACTGGAAACTCTAAAATGCAGAGCGTCTCTCCTCCTCCAAAGGAACACAGTTCCTCACCAGCAACGGAACAAAGCTGGATGGAGAATGACTTTGACGAGCTGAGAGAAGAAGGCTTCAGACGATCAAATTACTCTGAGCTACGGGAGGACATTCAAACCAAAGGCAAAGAAGTTGAAAACTTTGAAAAAAATTTAGAAGAATGTATAACTAGAATAACCAATACAGAGAAGTGCTTAAAGGAGCTGATGGAGCTGAAAACCAAGGCTCGGGAACTACGTGAAGAATGCAGAAGCCTCAGGAGCCGATGCGATCAACTGGAAGAAAGGGTATCAGCAATAGAAGATGAAATGAATGAAATGAAGCGAGAAGGGAAGTTTAGAGAAAAAAGAATAAAAAGAAATGAGCAAAGCCTCCAAGAAATATGGGACTATGTGAAAAGACCAAATCTACATCTGATTGGTGTACCTGAAAGTGATGGGGAGAATGGAACCAAGTTGGAAAACACTCTGCAGGATATTATCCAGGAGAACTTCCCCAATCTAGCAAGGCAAGCCAACGTTCAGATTCAGTAAATACAGAGAACGCCACAAAGATACTCCTCGAGAAAAGCAACTCCAAGACACATAATTGTCAGATTCACCAAAGTTGAAATGAAGGAAAAAATGTTAAGGGCAGCCAGAGAGAAAGGTCGGGTTACCCTCAAAGGGAAGCCCATCAGACTAACAGCGGATCTCTCGGCAGAAACCCTACAAGCCAGAAGAGAGTGGGGGCCAATATTCAACATTCTTAAAGAAAAGAATTTTCAACCCAGAATTGCATATCCAGCCAAACTAAGCTTCATAAGTGAAGGAGAAATAAAATACTTCACAGACAAGCAAATGCTGAGAGATTTTGTCACCACCAGGCCTGCCCTAAAAGAGCTCCTGAAGGAAGCGCTAAACATGGAAAGGAACAACCGGTACCAGCTGCTGCAAAATCATGCCAAAATGTAAAGACCATCGAGACTAGGAAGAAACTGCATCAACTAACGAGCAAAATAACCAGCTAACATCATAATGACAGGATCAAATTCACACATAACAATATTAACTTTAAATGTAAATGGACTAAATTCTCCAATTAAAAGACACAGACTGGCAAATTGGATAAAGAGTCAAGACCCATCAGTGTGCTGTATTCAGGAAACCCATCTCACGTGCAGAGACACACATAGGCTCAAAATAAAAGGATGGAGGAAGATCTACCAAGCAAATGGAAAACAAAAAAAGGCAGGGGTTGCAATCCTAGTCTCTGATAAAACAGACTTTAAACCAACAAAGATCAAAAGAGACAAAGAAGGCCATTACATAATGGTAAAGGGATCAATTCAACAAGAAGAGCTAACTATCCTAAATATATATGCACCCAATTCAGGAGCACCCAGATTCATAAAGCAAGTCCTGAGTGACCTACAAAGAGACTTAGACTCCCACACATTAATAATGGGAGACTTTAACACCCCACTGTCAACATCAGACAGATCAACGAGACAGAAAGTCAACAAGGATACCCAGGAATTGAACTCAGCTCTGCACCAAGTGGACCTAATAGACATCTACAGAACTCTCCACCCCAAATCAACAGAATATACATTTTTTTCAGCACCACACCACACCTATTCCAAAATTGACCACATAGTTGGAAGTAAAGCTCTCCTCAGCAAATGTAAAAGAACAGAAATTATAACAAACTATCTCTCAGACCACAGTGCAATCAAACTAGAACTCAGGATTAAGAATCTCACTCAAAGCCGCTCAACTACATGGAAACTGAACAACCTGCTCCTGAATGACCACTGGGTACATAACGAAATGAAGGCAGAAATAAAGATGTTCTTTGAAACCAACGAGAACAAAGACACCACATACCAGAATCTCTGGGACGCATTCAAAGCAGTGTGTAGAGGGAAATTTATAGCACTAAATGCCCACAAGAGAAAGCAGGAAAGATCCAAAATTGACACCCTAACATCACAATTAAAAGAACTAGAAAAGCAAGAGCAAACACATTCAAAAGCTAGCAGAAGGCAAGAAATAACTAAAATCAGAGCAGAACTGAAGGAAATAGAGACACAAAAAACCCTTCAAAAAATCAATGAATCCAGGAGCTGGTTTTTTGAAAGGATCAACAAGATTGATAGACCACTAGCAAGACTAATAAAGAAAAAAAGAGAGAAGAATCAAATAGACACAATAAAAAATGATAAAGGGGATATCACCACCGATCCCACAGAAATACAAACTACCATCAGAGAATACTACAAACACCTCTACGCAAATAAACTAGAAAATCTAGAAGAAACGGATAAATTCCTGGACACATACACTCTCCCAAGACTAAACCAGGAAGAAGTTGAATCTCTGAATAGACCAATAACAGGAGCTGAAATTGTGGCAATAATCAATAGCTTACCAACCAAAAAGAGTCCAGGACCAGATGGATTCACAGCTGAATTCTACCAGAGGTACAAGGAGGAACTGGTACCAATCCTTCTGAAACTATTCCAATCAATAGAAAAAGAGGGAATCCTCCCTAACTCATTTTATGAGGCCAGCATCATTCTGATACCAAAGCCGGGCAGAGACACAACCAAAAAAGAGAATTTTAGACCAATATCCTTGATGAACATTGATGCAAAAATCCTCAATAAAATACTGGCAAACCGAATCCAGCAGCACATCAAAAAGCTTATCCACCATGATCAAGTGGGCTTCATCCCTGGGATGCAAGGCTGGTTCAATATACGCAAATCAATAAATGTAATCCAGCATATAAACAGAGCCAAAGACAAAAACCACATGATTATCTCAATAGATGCAGAAAAAGCCTTTGACAAAATTCAACAACCCTTCATGCTAAAAACTCTCAATAAATTAGGTATTGATGGGACGTATTTCAAAATAATAAGAGCTATCTATGACAAACCCACAGCCAATATCATACTGAATGGGCAAAAACTGGAAGCATTCCCTTTGAAAACTGGCACAAGACAGGGATGCCCTCTCTCACCACTCCTATTCAACATAGTGATGGAAGTTCTGGCCAGGGCAATTAGGCAGGAGAAGGAAATAAAGGGTATTCAATTAGGAAAAGAGGAAGTCAAATTGTCCCTGTTTGCAGACGACATGATTGTATATCTAGAAAACCCCATTGTCTCAGCCCAAAATCTCCTTAAGCTGATAAGCAACTTCAGCAAAGTCTCAGGATACAAAATCAATGTACAAAAATCACAAGCATTCTTATACACCAATAACAGACAAACAGAGAGCAAAATCATGAGTGAACTCCCATTCACAATTGCTTCAAAGAGAATAAAATCCCTAGGAATCCAACTTACAAGGGATGTGAAGGACCTCTTGAAGGAGAACTACAAACCACTGCTCAAGGAAATAAAAGAGGATACAAAGAAATGGAAGAACATTCCATGCTCATGGGTAGGAAGAATCAATATCGTGAAAATGGCCATACTGCCCAAGGTAATTTACAGATTCAATGCCATCCCCATCAAGCTACCAATGACTTTCTTCACAGAATTGGAAAAAACTACTTTAAAGTTCATATGGAACCAAAAAAGAGCCCACATCGCCAAGTCAATCCTAAGCCAAAAGAACAAAGCTGGAGGCATCACACTACCTGACTTCAAACTATACTACAAGGCTACAGTAACCAAAACAGCATGGTACTGGTACCAAAACAGAGATATAGATCAATGGAACAGAACAGAGCCCTCAGAAATAACGCCGCATATCTACAACTATCTGATCTTTGACAAACCTGAGAAAAACAAGCAATTGGGAAAGGATTCCCTATTTAATAAATGCTGCTGGGAAAATTGGCTAGCCATATGTAGAAAGCTGAAACTGGATCCCTTCCTTACACCTTATACAAAAATCAATTCAAGATGGATTAAAGATTTAAACGTTAGACCTAAAACCATGAAAACCCTAGAAGAAAACCTAGGCATTACCATTCAGGACATAGGCATTGGCAAGGACTTCATGTCCAAAACACCAAAAGCAATGGCAACAAAAGCCAAAATTGACAAATGGGATCTAATTAAACTAAAGAGCTTCTGCACAGCAAAAGAAACTACCATCAGAGTGAACAGGCAACACACAAAATGGGAGAAAATTTTCGCAACCTACTCATCTGACAAAGGGCTAATATCCAGAATCTACAATGAACTCAATCAAATTTACAAGAAAAAAACAAGCAACCCCATTAAAAACTGGGCGAAGGACATGAACAGACACTTCTCAACAGAAGACATTTATGCAGCCAAAAAACACATGAAAAAATGCTCATCATCACTGGCCATCAGAGAAATGCAAATCAAAACCACAATGAGATACCATCTCACACCAGTTAGAATGGCAATCATTAAAAAGTCAGGAAACAACAGGTGCTGGAGAGGATGTGGAGAAATAGGAACACTTTTACACTGTTGGTGGGACTGTAAACTAGTTCAACCATTGTGGAAGTCAGTGTGGCGATTCCTCAGGGATCTAGAACTAGAAATACCATTTGACCCAGCCATCCCATTACTGGGTATATACCCAAAGGACTATAAATCATGCTGCTATAAAGACACATGCACACGTATGTTTATTGCGGCATTATTCACAATAGCAAAGACTTGGAACCAACCCAAATGTCCAACAATGATAGACTGGATTAAGAAAATGTGGCACATATATACCATGGAGTACTATGCAGCCATAAAAAATGATGAGTTCATGTCCTTTGTAGGGACATGGATGAAATTGGAAATCATCATTCTCAGTAAACTATCGCAAGAGCAAAAAACCAAACACTACATATTCTCACTCATAGGTGGGAATTGAACAATGAGATCCCATGGACACAGGAAGGGGAACATCACACTGTGGGGACTGTTGTGGGGTGGGGGAGGGGGGAGGGTAGCTTTAGGAGATATACCTGAAGCTAAACGATGAGTTAATGGGTGCAGCACACCAGCATGGCACATGTATACGTATGTAACTAACCTGCACTTTGTGCACTTGTACCCTAAAACTTAAAGTATAATAATAATAAAATTAAAAAAATAAAAATATATTATTTTAGCAATTTTGACATATAGATTATTTTTAACTGTGGTTACCACACAGTGCCTGTCTAATTGAAATTTTGTACCCTTTGATTGACACCTCCCCTTTCCTGAACCCTCCCCATCTCCCACATTTCTGGTGATGATCTTTCTACTCGTTTCTATGACGTCAGCTTTTTTAGATTCCACATATAAGTGAAATTATACAGTATTTATATTTCTCTTCCTGGTTTATTACACTTGGCATAATGCCCTCCAATTTCATTTATACTGTCACAAATGATAAAATTTCCTTCCTTTTTTAAGGCTGTATGGTATTTCATTGTGTATATATGAAGATGCTCTTCAAATTACAATGGAGTTATGTCTTGATAAACCCATCACATGCTGAAAATACTAAGTCAAAAGGATGTTTCTGCCTTCAGAATATTTCTACATATGGTAGGATAATCTAGGCATAATTTCATCTTAAATTGATGAGTGTACTGAATGCACATAGTTATCACACCATTGTGAAGTCAAAAAATTGCAAGGCACATCATTGTAACTCTGGGAATGTACGTACAATATTTTCTTTACCCATTCATCTGTCGATGGACATTTAGGTTTCTCCCATGTCTTGGCTATTGTGAAAAATACAAAAATGAACATGAAAGTGCAGATATTTCTTTGACATACCAATTTCAATTGTTTTGAATATATACCCAGTGAGATTGCTGGATCATATTGTAATTTTATGTTTAGATTTTTGAGAAACCTCCACACTAATTTCCAAAATAACAGTACTAATTTACATTTCCACCAACAGTGTGCAAACATTTCCTTTTCTCCACATCCTTCCAAACACTTGTTATCATGTGTCTTTTTGATAACAGTAACTCTAATAGGTGTGAGGTAATATTTCATTGTGGTTTTAATTTGCCTCTCCTTGAAGATTAGAGATACTGAGCATTTTTCATTTATGTGTTGGGTACTTATATTTACGAGTGAGTCACTGGGCAAATCACTTAACCTTTCTAGCTCTGAAATTTCTGATTTGTAAATTGAGATGATTGAATTAGATTGGTGTTTTCTTTTTTGTTTTGTTTTTTGTTGGATTTTTTTTTTTTAATTTACCACTGGCTATACAGTAGACTCTCATGAGAAACAAAAAAATTAGATGTCCGGCCCCAACCCAAAGAATTTTGGAATAATTGATCTGGGATAAGGATCAAGCATTGTTTGCAACTTCTCAGGTGATTCCAAGGTGCAGCCAGAATTTAATACTACTGGGCTAAAATCTATCTAACATCTCTTTCAAACTCTAAGAATTACATTTTCCTTTTATTGTCAGTGAATTAAATTATAATGCATTCCATTTTTCCTTGACTTATATAATCAATGCTAAAATAGGTTTTCTACTACTCCACAAGACAAAATTACAACATCAAAAAATATGGACTTTAATATATACTTAAGGGAAAAAGAAAAAATATTTTATACATGACTATTTGGAATTTATTTAGTAGTTTTATGATGTGAAGGATGACTTATTTATTCTTTTTTTTTTTTTTTTTTTGATCATTCTTGGGTGTTTCTCGCAGAGGGGGATTTGGCAGGGTCATAGGACAATAGTGGAGGGAAGGTCAGCAGATAAACAAATGAACAAAGGTCTCTGGTTTTCCTAGGCAGAGGACCCTGCGGCCTTCCGCAGTGTTTGTGTCCCTGGGTACTTGAGATTAGGGAGTGGTGATGACTCTTAAGGAGCATGCTGCCTCCAAGCATCTGTTTAACAAAGCACATCTTGCACCGCCCTTAATCCATTTAACCCTGAGTGGACACAGCACATGTTTCAGAGAGCACAGGGTTGGGGGTAAGGTCACAGATCAACAGGATCCCAAGGCAGAATAATTTTTCTTAGTACAGAACAAAATGAAAAGTCTCCCATGTCTACTTCTTTCTACACAGACACGGCAACCATCCGATTTCTCAATCTTTTCCCCACCTTTCCCCGCTTTCTATTCCACAAAACTGCCACTGTCATCATGGCCCATTCTCAATGAGCCACTGGGCACACCTCCCAGATGGGGTGGTGGCCGGGCAGAGGGGCTCCTCACTTCGCAGCAGGGGCGGCTGGCCGGGCGGGGGGCTGACCCCCCCACCTCCCTCCCGGACGGGGCGGCTGGCCGGGCGGGGGTCTGACCCCCCCACCTCCCTCCCGGACGGGGCGGCTGGCCTGGCGGGGGCTGACCCCCACCTCCCTCCCGGACGGGGTGGCTGCTGGGCGGAGGGGCTCCTCACTTCTCAGACGGGGCGGCTGCCGGGTGGAAGGGCTCCTCACTTCTCAGACAGGGTCGCGGCCCGGCGGAGGCGCTCCTCACATCCCAGACGGGGCAGCGGGGTAGGGGCGCTCCCCACATCTCAGACGATGGGCGGCCGGGCAGAGACGCTCCTCACTTCCTAGATGGGATGGCGGCTGGGAAGAGGCGCTCCTCACTTCCCAGATGGGATGGCGGCCGGGCAGAGACGCTCCTCACTTCCCAGACGGGGTGGCGGCCAGGCAGAGGCTGCAATCTCGGCACTTTGGGAGGCCAAGGCAGGTGGCTGGGAGGTGGAGGTTGTAGCGAGCCGAGATCATGCCACTGCACTCCAGCCTGGGCACCATTGAGCACTGAGTGAATGAGACTCCGTTTGCAATCCCGGCACCTCGGGAGGCCGAGGCTGGCGGATCACTCGCGGTTAGGAGCTGGAGACCAGCCCGGCCAACACAGCGAAACCCCGTCTCCACCAAAAAAATACGAAAACCAGTCAGGTGTGGTGGCGTGCGCCTGCAATCACAGGCACTCGGCAGGCTGAGGCAGGAGAATCAGGCAGGGAGGTTGCAGTGAGCCAAGATGGCAGCAGTACAGTCCAGCTTCCGCTCGGCATCAGAGGGAGACCGTGGAAAGAGAGGGAGAGGGAGACCGTGGGGAGAGGGAGAGGGAGAGGGATTTATTTATTCTTAGTTGCTCTTATGTGTCTCAGACTGTGTCTATAAAGAGCCCACGACTTGACCATAATACTCAAACACTATACTGATACACATCTTCATTAAAACGTCTGAGAAAAACTTCCGGTGACAGACATATTATACTGTCCAGTATGCTAGAATGTCTTGATAGAGCTTTCATGAAACCTGAATTTCTGTACTTAGTCATTTTAATAGAGAGAAAAGCACATTTGAGCTTTGGTCAGCCCATACTTAGCACTCAATTTAAATAATTTTTATTTATTTCAGTAAAAAGTAATGTCAAGAATCTTTTCTATACATTAAAAAACCTCACATAAAATGTGTTAAAAAATAAATATAAATGTATAAAAATTTTAAAAGCTTTCAAGTAAACAAGTTACCCATCTACAATCTGTTTAATCCAGTAACTCTACATTTCTGCATATTTATTTTCAGTTTGGTCCAAATCATTATTTTGGCCCTAATTTCTCTACTAAGCAACAATTTAAAAGTATCTTTGAGACATAAAGACTCAGGAATTACCCTGTGTTTCACAGTGGACAGGTCTGTACGAACCTACCTCAAAATCCGAGGAAGTCAATAGGCCGAGGAAAGATGCTGACAAATCCGGTTTCTTAGGAAGAAACATTTAACCGAGACTTTTGAACAGAATTTAGGTCTGTGTCTTGAGCAGCAGCAAGTAAAGATGGTGGACCCCATGTCATTAACCCCAGACCTAGGGCATAGATGCCATAGGTGAGGGTTGGTTCAGAAGGGTAGGACAATTGAAGTACAATAGCATCAAGGCTGTTTGACCTAAAAGCAGAATTTAGTGTAAGTACCTGCTCTAACATAAGGAACAATAGATAAATGGAAATCTCAGAGACCTTCACGTAACACGTGTTAATTAGAAGCCAACATGGTGGATTAGCATAGAAGATGGAGTTGCTTTAGCCTCCATATCTTGTCCTCCAAAAAGATCAAAACTGAAATAATTTTTGTTTAAGCTTCGGCTTTACATATATTTTCTATTTCATTTAACAACATCATTATCTTCCTGGCGGTCTATGTTAGTTATTTCAGGTCAATCTTTTTCTAACCCATTCACACTTCCTCCTAACATTGTATGAGTCATGAACTCTTAAAATAGACTACTTCTCCAAGACTATGGATTCCACTTGGACATTTATAATATTTGTTTCCTTTATACTAAAAATTTATCTGTTTAACATATACTGGAAACAAAGATAAATGAAAAATGACTGAAGGCTAGCTTCAAATCAATTCAACCACTGATTGTGTTAAAAGTTACCTAATTCTACCTTAAGTCTTCAAATTGTTAAGACAAATCCTCCCTGGTGTAAAATAACATAACCCTAATACTCAATTTATCTGTATAAAAATTATACACAGAATGTTAAAAATATTACTGGGGAAAGTTAAAAAAAAAAAGCCATCTAGCAGAAGGAATCTCAGTAACCAAACCAGTGGCCTTTGTTAGGAAGGGAAAGGGCTCAACTCAGTAATGGACTGATACAGATGGCTCCTGGGACGAATGTGGGTGGGTGGTTTCTGCCAGCATGAATGCTTAGAGAAATGTCCTTTTCAGCCAGGTGCAGTGGCTCACGCCTTTAGTCCCATCACTTTGGGAGGCCCACGCAGGTGGATCACTTGAGGTCAGGAGTTCGAGACCAGTCTAGCCAACACAGTGAAACCCCATCTCTACAAAAATACAAAAATCAGCCAGTCATGGTGTCAGGCGCCTGTAATCCCAGCTACTTGGGAGGCTGAGACAGGAGAATTGCTTGAACCCGGAAGGCGGAGGTTGCAGTGAGCCGAGATTTCACCACTGCACTCCGGCCTGGGTGACAGAGTGACTCCATCTCACCACACACACACACACACACACACACACACACATACACACACAGACAGGAATGTCCTTTCCATAAAAGGAAAATTACTTTTATATTTAGAATACATAGGGCATAATGTGGATTTATTTGTCCTGTAGATAAAATGAAAAACCACTCAGGTAAGAATGCTCTCTCATGGCAACTTTCAAGCATGAAAATTGTTTCCTGAAAGTATCATCACTTTTCCTTATTAAAGAAGGCTGTTAATTGGATTTTGAGTTCTTACCTCAAAAAAACTTGAATTTTGGCAGGGGAAGTGGGCTCAAAAGATAATATATATTTCGCATTCACATTCAGACCCCACAACTTGGAGTCCAATTTTCAGTATTTTAATTACCTTAATAATACTATGAATGTGAGATAGCGGGATAGAGATCCCAACTTGAAAAAACAGCCAGTGCCTGTGGTAATTTCATGTCTTGTCAAATACTTTTATCGATTGGTTTATATGTCATTCTTGTTATAGAAGACTATGTCTTTTAAAAAATCTTATTAGTAACACTTTCCTAATTTGTATTTTAGAAAGCTAAAGGTCACTGGATTAATAACACTGGGAGGGTTAGAATAAAACAATACATTAATATTGCTGCAAACCTGAGGTGGCATGGGGTGGTTGGAAAACCAGAACTATTTTAAAAACATTAAGCTCCACTGTAAATATAACTCACAACTCCTGGCTTTGGGGAGTGGGAGAGCATTGTGTGGGTTTTGTTCAATTTATTGACTAAAGTAGGCCTTTTTTGAGATTACTGGACCATCGTTAAATGTGTACTGTGAAGAGCTTAATGATATGTATAAAGGGCTTTACTACAGTCCACTAAATAAACACTACTAAAGTACAGACTGCAAACCAAAATGTATCTGTGTTATGACATCAATTGCAAGTAGCAAGCATGGTGCTAAAGTCTACACCAATGGAATTAGATGAGTCCTATGCATGAATTTTAAAATTAGTTTTCAGTAACAAAAAATGCCATATAGACAGATGTAAAGATATACCATATTCATGAACTGAACGGTTCATTAGTATAATGACATTCATTTATCATCTTTAAATTGATTTATAGATTTGGTGGAACCACAGTGAAATTCTTAGAGGCCAATTGTGGAAGCTACGGTAATTTTAAAATTTACTTGAAAATAAAAGTGAAACAATTAGCTAAGACAAACTTTAAGAACAAAACTAGTGGAGTCATACAACCATATATGGAAACTTACTATAAAGGTGAGGTAACTAAACATTGTGGTGTCAGAGAAATTGTAGACAGACAACCATATCAAAATAACACATGTGTAAACAGACCAACACATATATGAACATGCTTTATAACAAAACTGGCATTGCAAAGCAGTGGGGAAAGGAATCATTTCTGTAATTGGTAGCCATAAAAATATCATTACATCATGAACCCTTACCTGACATGATACACAAATATCAAGGTTTCATACTTCAGTGTGAATGATTAAAAATATATAAAGCTTCTAGAATATAATACTAGTGAATATCTTCATGACTTTGGGATAGGCAATGATATCTTTAATAGCACATAAAAATCAGTTAATAGACTAAATTAAAATAAGAAATGTGTGCTAATCAAAAGATGCCATTAAGAGTGTGGAAAGGTCTCCTACCATCTTCCAGTTTCTAGGGTAGAGAAAAACTGAGTTCAACTATTCTGTTATTTCCTGACTTTCAAAGAATCAGGGAACTGAGACACACTCATGACAGTTATTAGCTCCCAACCACACCCCACCTGATGACACAGAGTAATGTACTCAAGCTTTTCCCGATATTCCATCACCCTGCAATTTTTGCCTCTGTTCTCCAGTGGAGCCAATCATTAATCCATGGTTCGGAACACAGTGTGGTGAACCCAATTCTAGTGCTTTTTGAGGTTAACTGAACAGAGCTCTCACTTTGTCCAAACCCATATGTTATGTGTCAGAAGCCATATGACTTGGATGTGGAGATAACCTAGCCAGCAGGTGAAAAGCCAAAGAAAGGAAATTGACTTAGGTGTCATTCCTGACAGGAAATACAGTCTTAGGGCAATTGAGGCACTGAATTATAATTATTTGCTATTATGTTTGTTTACTCCACTATCCTTAAAAGTTTAAAAGTTGCTTGAACTCAAGAGTTCGAGCCCAGCCTGGGCAACATGGCAAAACCCCATATCTACAAAAAATTAACTGGGTGTGGTGGCATATGCTTGTAGTCCCAGCTACCAGGGAGGCTGAGGCGGGAGAATAGCCTGAGCCCGGCAGTTCTAGGCTCCAGTGAGCCGTGATCCTGCCACTGCACTCCAGCCTAGGCAACAGAGCGACCCCCTGTCTCATTTTTGATCCTGCAGTGGCGCGATCTCTTTTCAGTGCAGCCTCAACCTGCCGGGTTCAAGCGATTCTCCAGCCTCAGCCAGGCCCCCGTCCCAAGTAGCTGGGTCTGCAGGCGCATGCCACTAGGCCCGGCTAATTTTTTGTACTTTTTTTTTTTTATAGAGATGGGATTTCACTCCTGACCCCAAGTGATCCGCTCGCCTCGGCCTCCCAAAGTGCTGTGATAATAGGCATGAGCCACCGAGACTGGCCAAAAAAAAAAAAGTTTAAAAGGTGTAATTCCTTATTTATTATTGTGTTCTTAGCATATCACCCAAAACATGGAACACATTCAGAAATATACATATTTATATACATTTATTAAAATTAATAACTTCCTGTTAATAAGTGTTGACTATTTTTTAGTTTGTTAGTGACACATCCCAGATATATAATCGTGTCAAAACAAATAAAATTAATCATGTCTATACATTCTATGTTGTGATAGATGTGTTAGCTCCTCTAATCCCTGAAATGCCTAAAATGACCAAGGAAATCCGTCTGCACGTATGTTGGGAACGGTCACAAGTCACTTATACCACTTAACACTTCATTTATGCCAGTCAAAGAAGCTTTATCCCTAAAGTCTCCCAACATAAGTATCCGTATTCCATTTTTTTTTTCCAACCAAGCTGATGAGCCTTTTTCTTATACTTCCTGACTTGTTTACCTTTCCTTTTGCAAAAGCAGAATTCAGTTATGAGAAATTCTAATGACTTACATTCTGACTTTTTTTCAATATGCCCGTAAACATAAACTTTACAAATAGTAATTAAAAACATAAAACTACAGCTAATTGACCAGGATGTAGTCTCCCTTATTGATTAAGGTTAGCGTTTATTTTTTCAATGTCAGTGGGTCAGAGTTCTGAAACTGCTTCTGTGTTTGTGTGACTGTATTTATATGTGTAAAAGAGATAATTTAGGGAAGTGAAAGAAAGAAGAGAGAGAGGGAGAGTGAGAGAGACAGAGACAGAGAAAGGAAGAGAGAGAGGCTGGCTGATGATATTTTATTAAACTGCTTTGAGTGGTGAATGTCAGAAAGAAGCAAGATAACAAATGACAGGGCTAAAGTGCCCTATACGAGGAAATCAGAGATTCACATTTGCTCCTTTAGATGATAGGACATAAAAGAAAGTGTTCAGAGGAAGAAAGAAACAGGAAATGATGGAAAACTTGGTGTGCTGAGTAAAGTGATGTATCCCATGAGAATCCCCAGGATGGGGAAAGGATTCTGATTTGGAAATATATATATGTCGTTTCTTTTTTTAATTTTTATGAGTACATTGTAGGTGTATATATTTATGGAGTACATGAGATATTTTGATATTGGCATACAAAGTGTAATAATCACATCAGGGTAAATGGGGTATCCATTACCTCAAGCATTTATCATTTTTTTGTGTTATAAACGTTATGATTATACTTTTTTACTTGTTTTAAAGTGTACAGCAAATTATCGTTGACTGTATGTTACTTCATGTAGAATGTGTTTTGTTACCTATCCCGATGACCAACCAACTTAGGCAAGCTACGTACTTATATTTGTAGTTATTTCTACAGAGACGTTGAGGAAACAAGGCAAATGACTCTCTCTTTCTTCCCCCACCTCCCCATCACTTCTGGTTTCCATCCCTCTCTTCCTCTTCCTCCACTTCTGTCTTCTTTTTCCATTTCTTTCCTCCCCCTCTATGTCTTCCTCCTTTTCCTCCTCCCTTGTCCTCTCTATGTTCCCCCTCCCTGACCCTATGGTTCAAAATCTGAAGAGCCATTAAAATGCTACATACCAAGGAAAGTATTATGAACGGAGAAAACTATAGTCAGAATAATCAAGAATTTAAGAAATCATAGCTTTGCAGTTATATGAACATGAAATAAAACATTGAGTCAATTGTATCCAGGTCTCTAGTTACCAGAAAACTTCAGGTAATACTTAGTTGAGATGTGTGTGTGTGCTCATGTATGTCTATGTGTGTATAAATTTAATTAAATGTTGTCAAGAAGACATTACATATTTATAATATGTAAAAATATCAGTTCATGTTACTAGTTATAATTCCCAGCATCATTCTATTTGCATGATAATATAATCATGTTTAATTAATTTTCATCTGCTATCACATCATCTAGCATCCTAACAAATACTGCACATTCATTTCATTTCCTCTTTGCCTCGATCTAGGTCTCCATCAAGAAAGTTAATGCCACATCCTTAAATAAGGACTGAAAGTTGTAACAATGTTTATTGGACTTAAATTTAAGAATTGAATTACCTAATATGAAGAGTAATAATGAAACTAGCTTGATTATTAATATTTTATATTTGATGTGATTAAATGTGAATAGTTTATCAATTTTCTCAGCCCTCTAATGATACCCTTTATACTGGCATCTTCCCAAGTGTTTCAACCTCCAGTTTCTCTACTATATCAAAGTGGTTACAAACTTTTGCCCTCATTGCTATTCTTGCCTCCAATTACCCTAAAAATTGAGAGTTTCTGTGTAATACCAACATACCAATGTTTCACAATAAGATTAAATAAATAGAATAGCAGTTCAAGTTAAAGCTTACAAGAGATTCAAAAACTGGTTTGTCTCTTAATAAATCTTTAGGCAAACATTGTCACTTAGTCCTCAATGAACACAGAATTGGCAGTGCAATTTGAAAGTAAAGGGTGTAATGCTGGTAATTGAGATTTATTAAAGGCAGTTGGCCAAGATGGCATTAAATATGTATATTGTGAGAGATAGTATGTGTGGATGTGTGTGTGGTTTAACTGACTATGAATGTTTCTTCTATGCAGGAAACTATAAAACAAGAACTATCCTCTGATGTTTTCCACCTGTTCAAATAAAGTTATAAACTACCCAGGTGAATGTAAACAACTCATACACAGAAAATAAAGAGCCATAATCCTGATTCTACTGTTCTCAAACCCTAGTTCTACATAAGAATACAACAAAGAAAGAATCATTTATATGTATCAGAAAAAGAACAAGTCTGAACAGAAAATTTAAATGATTAACACTAGGAACTTCCAGTCTCAGCACTGACTGCTAAAGAGCTTGGAAGTAATCACATCTATTCTTACAAAAAAACAAAACAAAACACAACAAAAAACACCAACAAAGTTACTTACAGCCATCAGAGAACTGAGACCACAGGGTAAATCACCACTTTGGAAAGACAGGCCAACACAGAGAATTATACCAGAGATACCTTACCTGAAGCAGAACCTACTGGATCCATAAACTAACAGGAAAGATTAAATAGTAATTTTGACAAATTTTGGGAGGCTTAAGAGTTCTTGAGGTCTCAATCTCAGGGATACCCCACACTTCCAAGGGTTTTAACTGCAAGAATTACTCCAAATCCTCATGGTGAAGATCTGAGAACAATTCCCTCAAATTGTGAGCCAGGGGAGAGGAAAGCTAATCATGTTGAAATACACTGAAAGTAATATTCACAACAAAGTCCTACTCCCCAAGATAAGCCTATTTCTCAGAGCCTTATCCCACTGGGGGAAGGGCAATTGCCAAGCTGTAGCCCACTGTGGCTCTGTCTCACCTAAAGAGAGGTTGAAAAAGCTGAGAAACATTCTGAAGTCACAGCCTAGGGATTCACTCCCACTAAAATATTGAGATTTAATCATAGAATCATACAATGTTCCCCTCCTCTCCACCTTACCACGGTATCAATAGGGCTCCAGTATAACAGTGGATTAGAACTGAAAGAGCAATAAGACACAGCTTCTATTTAAGAAGTAATACTTATAGAAAAACAGAGGGATCAGGAGAGAAACATAAACAAGGTCAGCAAAGGAAACAAGTTTCTAACACCAATGGCCACAAAAAACATTAATCATTAATATCATCTAGCTCAAAAACATTAATACAGTCTAGCTCCTAGCCAGAATAACACACCACCTGACACTGAAAGCCTATTTGGCTCAGTTTCTATTATCCAAATAATTAAATAATACTTCACACGAAAATGTTACAAGAAGATATGAAAAAGGCAAGAGAAAAACACAATCTGAAGAGACAAAGCAAACATCAGGATTGGACTCAAATATGACACAGATTTGGAAATTATTAGATGAAAAATTTAAAATTAATTTGAATTAATACATATTTACTATGTTAAGTTTTCCAATAAAAAATAGACAACATGTAAGAACAGATGGATAATGTAAGCAGAGATGGATAATGTAAGAAAGAATGGAAAGAAAATGGTAAAAATAAAAAATGCTAACAGATACAAATAATGCCTATGCTGCTGTTATCAGTAGAGTAGATATGGCCAAGGAAAGAATCAGTGAGTTTGACAGCCCAAACTGAAGTGTAAAGAGAAAAAACATTTAAAAAAACGTATTCAAGAACTAAGGCCCGATGCCAAAAAAAAAAAAAAATGTATAACATATGTGTAATTGAAATACGCAAAGCAGAAAAAAAGAGAGAAAAAGGAGAAGCTAAAATACTTAAAATGCTAAATGACGAGTTAATGGGTGCAGCACACTAACATGGCACATGTATACATATGTAACAAACCTGCACGTTGTGCACATGTACCCTAAAACTTAAAAGTATAATAATAATAAAATAAAATGAAAAAAATAAAAATAAATAAATAAATAAGCATTGCTGAGCCTCTAAAAAAAAGAAATAATGTCCAACAATTTTCCAAAATTAATGAGACATTAAACCACAGATCTGAGAATTTCAGAGAATTCCAAGCATAAGAAATACCACAAGAATACACACATAGGCATGCCATATTCAAACTGCAGAAAAACAAAGTAAAACCAAAAATCTTAGAAGACGACAGAGGACGAAAAAGCCACATTACATGTAAAAGAAAAAGGGTACATAATACACCAGAATTTTCACCAGAAACCATACAAGCAAGTAAAGAGTACAGTGAGATATATAAAGTGTTGAAAGAAAAACCTCACCAATACAGATATTTTTATCTATTGAAATTACCCTTCAAGGCTGAAGGAGAAATACTTTGTCAGATAAGCAAAATCTTAGGGATTTTTGTGTCAGTACAACAGGCCTGTAAGAAATGTTTAAAAATGTTCTTTGTAGAGAAGAAAAATGATACAGGTCAGAACCTTAGATCAAAGATCAGCAAAGAAGAAACAAAGACAAAGATAATTTTTAAAAATTCTTAATTGTTCTAATATGCAACTGTCTATTTAAAGTAATAGTAGTAATTATATAGTGGGTAATTGTGGAATACATATAAGTGAAATGAATGACAGCAATATGATGAGGACAGGAGTGTAAAATTGCTAATACTCTGGTATAAAGTTCCTGTACTACTCATGAAGTATCATAGTGAGAGTAAACTTAAATTTCTTATAAATGCTTATTACAAGCCCCAGTACCCTAAAATATTTTAAAAGTATAATTAATATGCTTAGGGAATAAAATGGAATTTTATATTATCTGCAATCGAAACTGGAAAGGGTAGAAAAGAGAAGAAAAACAAAAGAAATGAAAGAACTAGTATAATAAGTAGAAAAGCTACAAACATGGTAAATATTAACTATATCAATAATACTTTTCAATGTGAATGGTCTATATGCACCAATACAGAAGCTGAGATCAACAAAGATTTAAAGAAAAGATCAAACTCTATGTTGTCTGCGAGAAATCCACTTTAAATATAAAGACAAAGATAGGTTAAAAGTAAATGAATGAAGAAAGATATATCGTGACAACACCAGCCAAAATAAAGTTGGAGTAGTTTATTACACTAAGATAAGGAAGGCTTCCAAATAGGTAATATTATCAAGGATAAGGAGAGGGGCATACAATTATCAAGGGTTGATTATTTAAAAATACATTTTTTGAAAGAATTTATTTATATATTTATTTATTTTAATTTCAATAGCTTTAGAAGTACAAGTGGTTTTTGATTACATGGATGAATTGTATAGTGGTGAAGTCCAAGATTTCAGTGAACCAGAAACCCAAGTTGTGTACATTATACCCAATAGGTAGTTTTTCATTCCTCCCCCATCACTCTCCCCTCTTCTGAGTCTCCCATGTCCATTATACCACTCTATATGTCTTTGTGAACCCATAGCTTATCTCCTGCTTATAAGCAAGAATATGTGATATTTGGTTTTCACTTCCTGAGTTACTTCACTTAGAATAATGGCCTTCAGTTCCATTCAAGTTGTTGCAAAAGAAATTGTTTTGTTCTTTTTATGGCTGACTAGACACACACACACACACACACGTGGAACAGAATAGAAAATCCATAAATAAAGCCAAATATATATGTAGATAAAAATGTTCTTTGTCAAGGATCAGTTGGTTGATTTGGCTTTATTTAAGGGGTTTTTTATTCCCTTCCATTAGACCATGACTTTTATGCCAGTGCCATGCTGTTTTGGTTTTTATAGCTGTGTAGCATAGTTTGAAGTCAGATAATGTGATGTCTCCAGATTTGTTCTTTTTGCTTAGGGTTGCATTGGCTATTGGGCTCCTTTTTGGTTCCATATAAATTTTAGGATTGTTTTTTCTAATTCTGTGAAAAATTATAGTGGCATTTTGATAGGAATTGTATTGAATCTGTAGATTGCTTTGGGCAATACGGTTGTTTTCAAAATATTTACTCTTCCAATCCATGAGCATGGGATATATTTCCATTTGTGTCATCTATGATTTCTTTCAGCAGTGTTTTGTATTCTCCTTCTAGAGATTTTTAACCTCCTTGGTTAAGTATATTCAAAGGTGTTTTTTTTTTAAGCTATTGTAAAAGAAATTAAGTTCTTAGTTGGATTCTCTGCTTGGTTGTTCTTGGTATATAGCAGTGCTACTGATTTGTGTACATTGATCTTGCAACCTGACATCTCACTAAACTCATTTATCAGGTCTAGGAGTCTTTTGGAGGAGTCCTTGGCGATTTCTATGTATAAGATTATATGATCAACAAACAGACATAGTTTGGCTTCCTCTTTTCCAATTTAGATGCCCTTTATTTATTCCTGCCTGACTGCTCTGGCTAAGACTTCTGGTACTATTTTTGTCTTGCTCCAGTTCTTAGTGAGAATGCTTTCAACTTTTCCCTATTTAGGGTGATGTTGGCTGTGGGTTTGTCATATACAGCTTTTATTATTTTGAGGTATGTTCCTTCTATGCCTAGTTTTTTGAGGGTTTTTATCATAAAGCAATGCTGGCTTTTATTAAATGCTTTTTCTGCATCCATTGAGATAATCATATCATTTTTGTTTTTAATTCGGTTTATGTGATGGATCACATTTATTGATTTACATATGTTGAACTATCTCTGCATCATTGGAATGAAATTTACTTGATCATGGTGAATTATTATTTTTTGATATGCTGCTGGATTCAGTTTGCTAGTATTTTGTTGAGGATTCTGGCATCTATATTAATCAGGCACATTGGTCTGTAGATTGTTGTTGTTGTTGTAATGTCCTTTCTGGGCTCTGGTATCAGGGCAATAGTGGCTTCACAGAATGAGTTAGGAAGGGTTCCTTCCTTCTCAATCTTTTGTAATAGTTTCTTTAGAATTAGTCCCTATTCTTCCTGAAATATCTAGTAGAATTTGGCTGTGAATCTCTCTGGCTCTGTGATTTTTCTTGCTGGTAGATTTTTTTTTTGTTGTTTAAATTACTGATTTAATCTTACTGCTTGTTATTTGTCAGTTCAGGATTTCTATTTCTTCCTGATGAAAGCTAGGGGAGTTGTATGTTTCCAGGAATTTATCAATTTCTTCTAGATTTTCTAGTTTGTGTTCCTAGAGGTGTTCGTAGCAGAGTTGAATGATCCTTTGCATTTTTCAGGTGTCAGCTGTAATGTCTCCATTTTTATTTCTAGTTGAACTTATTTGAATCTTCTCTTTTCTTGCTTAATCTAGCTAGTGGTCTATCAATTTTGTTTATCTTTTTGTTTCATTGATTTTTTTGTATTGTTTGTTTTTTCTTCTTTTTGATTCAGTTTCTTTAGATCTGCTCTGATTTTTGATGTTTATTTTCTTCTGCTAGCTTTGGGTTAGATTTGTTTTTGTTTCTCTAGTTCCTTGAGGTATGACATTAGGTTGTTAATTTGGCATCTTTCAGACTTTTAATAATTTTTTATTTTAATTTCATAGTTGGTATGGTACAGGTGGTTTGTGGTTACATAGATACATTCCTTAGTGGTGATTTCTGGGATTTTGGTTCACCTGTCAACCGAGCAGTGTACACTGTACCAGATTACGTAGTCTTTTATCCCTTACTCCTCTCCCATCCTTCCTATCGAGTCCTCAAAGTCTATTATATTATCTTTATGCATTTGCATCCTCATAGTTTAGCTCTCACTTATAAGTGAGAACATACGATATTTGGTTTTCTATTCCTGAGTTACTTCACTTAGAATAATGGCCTCCAGCTTTATCCAAGTTGCTGTTGTTGCTTTTAATCACAAAGCAATGCTGGGTTTTACCAAATGGTTTTACTGCATCTATTAACATGATCAAATAACTTTTGTTTTTAATTCTCTTTATGTGATGTTTCACATTTATTGACTTGCATATGTGAAACCATCTCTGCATCTGTGGTATGAAACCCACTTGATCATGATGTATTATCTTTTTGATATGCTATTGGATTTGATCAGCTAGCATTTTGTTGAGGATTTTTGTATCTATGTTTATCAGGGACATTGGTCTCTAGTGTCTGTTGTTGTTATGTCCTTTCCCGGTTTTGGTATTAGGGTGATCCTAACTTCATAGAATGATTTAGGGAGGATTCCTTCTTTCTCTATCTTTTAAAATAGTTTTATTGGAATTGGTAGCAATTCTTCTTTGAATGTCTGATATAATTTAGCTGTGACTCCATCTGGTCCTGGATTTTTTTTATTGGAAATTGTTTTATTACTTATTTAATCTTGCTGCTTGTTATTGGTTTGTTTAGGGTTTCTATTTATTCCTGATCTAATCTAAGAGGATTGTATATCTCCAGGAATTTATCCATTTCCTCTAGATTTCTTAGTTTGTGTGTGTAAAGGTGTTCATGATAGTCCGGAGTGGTCTTTTGTATTTCTGTGGTATCAGTTGTAATATCTCTACTTTCATTTCTAATTGAACTTATTTGGATCATCTCTCTTTTCTTGGTTAATCTCACTAATGATCTATCAATTTTGTTTATCTTTTCAAAGGACTAGCTTTCTGTTGCTTTTACTTTTTTTTGTTTGTTTCATTTAGTTCTGCTCTTATCTTTTGTATTTCTTTTCTTCTGTTGGGTTTGGGTTTAGTTTGTTTTGTTTCTCTAGTTCCTTGAAGTGTGATATTAGATTGTCTATTTGTGCTCTTTCAAACTTTTTGATGAAGGCATTAAATGCTATGCATTTTTCTCTTAGCACTGCTTTTGCTGTATCCCAGAAGTTTTGATAAGTGGTGTCACTATTATCATTCATTTCAAATATTTTTTAAACTTCCATCTTGATTTCATTGTTAATCCCCAAATCATTCCAGAACAGATTATTTAATAGGTTGGTGCAAAAATAGTTGGTATTAGGGTGATTCTGGCTTCATAGAATTATTTAGGGGGGATTCTCTCTTTCTCTATCTTTTAAAATAGTTTTATTAGGATTGGTACCAATTCTGCTTTGAAGGCCTGATAGAATTTAGCTGTGAATCCAAAGATTGGTTGGATCCACGTTTGAATTAGGTTGGTTGGTGCCATTACTTTTCATGTCAAAAAACAATTATTTTTGTGCCAGGCTAATAATTTCCATGTATTGGTATAGTTTTGAGGTTCCTTTTGGAGTTGATTTTGAGTTTTATTCCACTGTTGTCTGAAAAGATGCTTTATATAATTTTAATTTTCTTAAATTTATTGAGACTTGTTTTGTGGCCTATCACATGGTCTATCTTGGAGAATGTTCCATGTGCTGATGAGAAAAATGTATATTCTTCAGATTTGGGGAATATTCTGTAAATATCTCTTAAGTTCATTTGTTCTAGGGTACAGTTTAAGTTGATTTTTTTCTTTGTTTACTTTCTGTCTTAATGACCTGTCTAGTGCTGTCAGTGGAGTATTGGAGTCCCCCACTATTATTGTGTTTCTATCTCATTCCTTAGGTCTAAGAAGTAATTGTTTTATAAATTTGAAAGCTCTAGTGTTAGATGCACATAAATTTAGGATTGTAATATCTTCGTACTGGACTACTTTTTTTATCATTATATAATTTCCTTCTTTTTTTTTTTTTTTTTTACTGTTGTTGCTTTAAAGTCTGTTTTTTTCTTACATAAGAATAGGTACTCCTGCTGACTTTTGGTTTAAATTTCTGTGTAATATCTTTTTCTGCCCCTATACTTTATGTTTATGTGAGTCCTTATGTGTTAGATGAGTCTCTTGAAGGCAGCAGATATTTGGGTGGTGGTTTTTTAAATTTATTCTGGCATTCTGTTATCTTTTAAGTAGAGCATTTAGGCCATTTACATTCAACATTAATATTGAGCTGTAGGTACCTCTGCATTCATCATGTTAATTGTTGCCTAGATACTTTGTTTTTTTTTTTATTGTTTTTTTTTTGTAGGCCTAGTGAAATTTATGCATTATGAAGTTTCCTTTGTGGTGTATATCGAGCTTTTGCTTGAAGATTCAGAACTCCTTGTAGCATTTTTTGTGGGGCTAGCCTGGTAGTGACAAATTCCCTCAGCATTTATTTGTCTGAAAAAGACTTTCTCTTTCATTCATAAAGCTTAGGTTTGCTGGATACAAAATTCTTCACTGAAAATAATCTTGTTTAAGGAGGCTAAAGTTAGGACCCCAATCCCTTCTGGCTTGGAAGGCTTCTACTGAGAAATCTGCTATTAGTTTGATAGGTTTTAACTTTACAGGTTACCTGATACTTTTGTCTCACAGCTCTTGAGATTCCTTCCTTGGTCTTGACTTTAGATAGCCTGATGACAATGGGCCTTTGTGATGATCTTTTTTCAGTGAATTCCCCAAGTGTTCTTTGAGCTTCTTGTATTTGGATGTCTACATCTCTACCAAGACCAGGAAAGTTTTCCTCAATTATTCCCTCAAATAATTTTTCCAAACTTTGAGACTTCTCCCTCAGGAACACCAATTTTTCAAAGGTTTGGCTGTTTTACATAATCCCATATTTCTTGGAGACTTTGTTCATTTTTTAAATTATTTTTTCTTCGTCTTTATATGATTGGGTTAATCCAAAAGCCTTGTCATTGAGGTCTGAAATTCATCTAGTTCTAGTCTTGCTCTAGTCTATTGTTGAAACCTTTCACTGCATTTTATATTTTCCTAATTATATATTTGATTTCCAGAAGTTCTGATTTTTTTTAATAATATATATTTCTCTGGACAGTTTTTCATTTATATCCTGGATTTTTAAAAATTTATTTAAGCTGCTTTTTACCTTTCTATGGTATCTCCTTGAGTAGCTTAATAATCAACCCTCTGAATTCTTTATCTGGCATTTCAGAGATTTCTTCATGGTTTGGGTCCATTGCTGCGGAGCTAGTGTGATCTTTTGGGGGTGTTATAGAACCATATTTTGTCATATTACCAGAATTACTTTTTGACTTCTCATTTGGGTAGATTATTTCTTAAAGTTGTTCTTAAATTTTTTATTGGACTGTGTTTATTTTTTATTTTTCTTTCTTATAAATCTAAGTTTAACGTTTATAGTACATTTTAGGCTAATTTGATTCTTGGTGTTTAAAGGGTGAATACTCTGTATGAGTTTTTTAGTTATAGAGGCTCTTTGTATACTGACTTTCCCAGATGCTGTTTGTAGTAGTTATGTACTTGGTGTGTGGGCAAGTACACTGTCTTTTATGGGGTTGAAATGGCAAGAATCTTTTGAAGCTTATCTCATTCTTTCACTGTGTACACTGTATTTATTTATTTAATTTATCCCCAGTATTTTATTTACTCAGTCAATGATTCAGGCATCAGGCCAATAGGGAGGCATCCCTGGGTAGGCAATGGTTATAAATAAGGCAAGTGGGTAGATATAATATCCAATGGTGGGGAGATGTACTAGCCTTGATGAAAGCCGCTGGGGGTGCTCTCAATTAGATATGCTGAGGTTTTATCAGAGTGAAGAGTGGGAGCTACCTTAGCTCCCCTGCCATGCCAGGAAGGAAAGCTATCCACTTCACAGCCTCACTCCTATCCCAGTATTCTGGTTATTCATATCAGACAGGTACCTCTTTTCATCCTTAGAAATGTTGATTTTCCAAGTAGGGAGAAACTGTGATTCTGCCTTTTGTTCAGATCTGAATCTGGGGAGTGCTCCTCCTGTGGGGCTTCCATCACACTGAAATGCTCCAGAAAGGCTGTCTAAAGGTGTATCCACGCTGTGTTTTTGGAGAGAATCCCCAGCTGTCTCTTCAATGGTGTACTGCAGGGGAAAAAGGACCCCCTCTTTAAGGCCCTTCACAATCACAGAGATTGCCCGCCTATTAGGATAGAGGTGCAGACTTTCCCTACTGCACCCAGCACTACAATTGTGTCTCTGCTGTAAGAAACTTCCCACTAGACTCAAGGCCTGCCGTTCAGATTCTTTTGTCCCATGGGATGTTCCCTTGATGCGGTGCTCTCCCTCTTCCCCTATGAATAGGGCTTCCTTAGAGCTGAACTACAGTGCTTATTATCACTCTTCTGGGTCTAGCCACTCAGTGGGGCTATCTGGCTTTTCAGGTCTCCTAGCAGCAGATACCAGCACTTGCTCTGATGGAGGTGGCAGGGGAGTGACATAGACTCTGTGAGAATTCTTGGTTGTAGATAGACTTAGTGTGTGGGCTTTCTAGAATGCTGGTTGTTTTAGTAGTGAACTTGTCACATGGACAGAGTCAGGACTTTTGATTAGCAAGCAGTGATGTTAGCTGAGACCCTGCTGCTGTTTTCTCCTTCCTGGGCTCAGTGTTATTCTGACAAGAGGTGCTGTAATTGCCTGAGTTGGTTGGCCTCCAGCCAGAAGGTGGTGCTTCCAGGAAAACACCAGCTTCAGTAGTAGCGGTGGGATTTGAGCTTGCCCCAAGTTGTCCAGAGGATGTATTCTGGTTCCTCCGGTGAGAGGTGGGGCCATAAATCTCCCAAAATTGTGTGTCTTTTGTGTTAAGCTACCAGGGAAGGTAAAGAAATACCATCAGGTGGGGGCAGAGTTAGGTGGTTCTGAGCTCAGACTCTCCTTGGGCGGGGCTTGCTGTGGCCACTGTGGGGGATGGGGTGTGGTTCTCAGGCTGCTGGGATAATGTTCCAGAGGGGACTATAACTGCCTCTGCTGTGCAGAAGAGTTTGCAAAGGGAGTGGGGTGTAGACAGCAGCAGTAAGCCTCACCCAGCTCCCATGAAGTTTGCAAGGCTGGTCTCACTCCCACAGTGCCTTGCTAACAGTGCCAGGTTTAGATCCTGGCAGCTTGCACACAGAACTCAGTACTTCCTCAGTCCATAAGCTTCCCCACAGAGATAGCAAACAGGGCTTTCATGCCATGCGCCTCCCCATCTGTCCACAAGGCCAGGAATCCAGCTCCTGTGCTCATGTGTTCAGCACACTTCCAGCTTGTCCCTCAGTTCTGTTCAAGGGAGTTCATCCCCACTTGAAATTATAACATAAAATTCAGGTGGGAGGTTCTTTCACCCTGTGATCCCTCCTTGAGTTTGTTTGCTGACTTCTCTGAAGTCCCCTGTGAGATATAGTCAGGAATGGCTTTCCTGGACTTAAGCTGGAGATTGGGAATTCCTACAAGACACTTCCCAATGCTGGGAGTTTCATGCTGCTCCCTAAATCCATTCCAGCTCTGGGTAGGGTTAAGGACTTCTCCCGTGATCTGCATTTTCAGATTCCTCACTGGGGATGTGTGTTTGAAGGCAAGCTCTCCTCTCACACTCTGGAAACTTACAGTTTTTCACCTGTGTCTTGGAGTAGCTGCAGCATGCTGCTTCTTTCAAAGGTTCTGTGATTTATTTTGGCTTTCCTGGTCAAGTTCCTTTGGTGATTCTTGGAAAAAAAAAAAACTACAGCATGAATCTCTACCCACTATTCTGTCCTTCCAAGTGGGAGAGCATGCTGACACTGCCTCCTGTCCACCATCTTGAAAAAAAAAAAAAGTTTCAGTCTTTTTGATGTAGACATTCAGCGCTATAAATCTTCCTCTTAGCACTGCTTTTTCTGTTTCCCAGAGGTTTGGATAATTTTTATCACTGTAATTGCTCATTTAATTTTTTTAAATTTTCATTTTGATTTTATTATTAACCCAATAATCATTTAGGACCAGATTATTTAAGTTTCATATGTTGTATACTTTCAAGGACTCCTTTTAGAATTAATTTCTGGTTTATTCTGCTGTGTTCTGATAAGATACTTGATATGATTTTGATTTTTTCAAATTTATTGAGACTTGTTTTGTGGCCTACTATATGGTCTATCTTAGAGAATGTTCTATGTGCTGATGAGATAAATGTATATTCTTGGGTAGAATGTGTTGTAAATAGCTATGAGGTCTGTTTTTCCTAGAGTGCAGTATATATATATATGAAATACTATATATATTATATATATGAAATACTATATGTATTATATATATGAAATATATATGAAATACTATATTATATATATGTTATATATAATATATATAGTATTTCTTTGTTGACTTTCTGCCTCGAGGATCTGTCTAGTACTGTGAATGGAGTGGTGAAGATTCCCCATTATTATTGTGTTGCTGCCTATCTCTTTTCTTAGTTCTACTAGTAATTGCTTTCTGAAGCTGAGAGCTATGGAGTTAGGTGCATATATATTTAGGATTTTTATATCTTCTTGTTGAATTTATTATTTTATCAATATATAATGATCTTTTCTGTCATTTTCTACTGTTGTTGATTTAAAGTCTGTTTTATGAAATTTACTTCTCACTTTTGGATTCCATTTGCACAAAATATCACTTTCCACCCCTTTACATGGAATCTATAAGAATATTTGCTTGTTAGGTGTGTCTCCTGAAGACAGCAGATATTTGGCTTGTATTTTTTTTTTTTTTTGTCTCTTTTGTCAGTCTGTGTCTTTTTAAGAGGATAATTTAGATCATTTACATTCAACATTAATATTAATATGTGAGGATCTGTTTCAATCATCATGTTGACTTTTACCTAGTAACTTTGTTTTCTGGTTGTGTTATTGTTTTCTAAGCCCTGTGAATTGTATTCTTTCAGAAGTTTCTATTCTGGTGTGTATAGATCTTTTATTTCAAGATTTAGAACTCCTTTTAGCATTTATTATGGAGCTGATGTAGTACTGATAGATTTCCTCAGCAATTGCTTGTCTGAAAAATAGTCTATTTCTCCTTCATTTATTAAACTTAGTTTTTCTAGATACAACATTGTTAGCTGACAGTTATTCTATTTAAGGAGAGTATAGACAGGAGTCCAGTACCTTCTGGCTTATAAGATTTCTGCTGAGAAGTTTACTGTTCATCTGATAAATATGCTTTCCCAGACGGACATAACAATTCTTAGCATATATAAACCCAATAAAACAATTCAAAATTATTGAAGCAAAAGCTGATAGAACTTCAAAAAGAAATGGAAAAAATGGGAAACTGAAAAAGAAGCACAATTAAACCTAAAGCAAGCAGAAGAAATGATAAAAATTAGAGTGGAAATCTGTAAAATTAAGAACATAAAATCAATAGAGAAAAACAAAAAAAATTAAAAGCTGTTATTTGAAATTAATGAAATTGAAAAGTCTCTAGCCAGACTAAGAAAAACAAAACAAAAACAAAAACATGAGAACACACAAATTTTAGAAATAAAAGTGAGGTCATCACTCCTGAATTTGTAGGCATTAAAATGATAATAAAATGACAAAAAATACAAACAGCTTTATGACCACAAATTTGATTACTTAAGTAAAATGGGCCAATACCCCAAAAGACACGAACTACCAAAGCTCACACAAAGAGACGCAGATAATCTGAGTGGTCCTAAACCTATTAAATTGAATAAATATTTAATAACCTTCCAAAACAAAATGCACCAGGGCTGACTGGGTTCAATGGTGAATTCTACTAAACATTTAAGAAAGAAATTATGTCAATTTTCTACAGTATCTTCCATAAAGTAGAAGTCATAATTACCCTAATAACAATACTAGATAGACATTACAAGAAAACTATAGACCACTATTTCTTATGAACATAGATGCAAATATCCTTAATGAAATATTAGCCAGAATTATACACCATGACAAAGTGGGATTTATTTCATGTATTTGAAGTTGGTTCCACATTAAAAATGAATTAATGTAATTTACGACACCAATAGAATAAGGAAATAAAAAGTCTACAATCATATCAATTGATAAAGGAAAAGTATTTAACAAAACCCAACAGTCATTAGTGATAAAACATCTCAGCAGATTAGAAATAGAAGGGAACTTTCCCAACTTAATAAAGAATGTCTACTAAAAACCTGCAGTTAATGTAGGTTTTCTGGATGCTTTTCTTGCAACATTAGAGATAAGAATGTACTCTCTTACTACATTTATTCAATGTCATACTGGAAGGCCTAGATAATGAAATAAGATAATAAAATAAATTATATACAGATTATGAAGGTAGTAAATGCACTGTCTTTTTTCATGCATGACATGATTATGTAGAAGTCTCAAAGAATTGAAGAAAAGCTTCTGGCAGTAAAAAGTAATTATGGTAAGGTCATAGGATGCAAGGTTAACATACAAAAGTTGATTGCTTTTTTGTATACCAACAGTGAACAATGATAATTTTGAAATTAAAAACACAATACCATATTTAGTAGCATAAAAACATGAAATAAAGCACAAATTAAAAAATGTATACAAGATCTTTGCATAGCTAACTACAAAACTCTGATGAAATGAATAAAATAGGATATAGAGATATTTGATGTCCATGAATTGGAAGACTCAAAATTGTTAAAATGCCAATTCTTCCCAAGTTCATCTATAGATTTAATACAATCCCAATCAACTTCCCAAGAAGCAATTTTATGGTATTAACCAACTGATTCCAAAGTTTACTTGGAAAGGCAAAGGACTCAGAATAGCCAACAGAACATTGAAGAAGAACAATATTTGAGAACAAATGAGACTTGACTTCAAGACTTATTATGAAGCTATTGTAGTCAAAACAGCTTAGTAGTGGCAAAAAAAAAAAAAAAGGATACATAGATCAATGGAACAAACTAGAGTACCCAGAAATAGACCCATGCAAATGCAGTCAACTGATCTTTGACAAAGGAACAAAGGAAATTCCATGGAGAAAGATAGTTTTCTCTACAAAACAAATGTGAGAAAAATTGGACAACCATATGCCAAAAATAAATGAATCTAGACAAGATCTTACAACTTTTACAAAATTAACTCAAGATTAGTCATAGACCAATAGTTGCCAGGGCTTTGAAGGAGAGTGAGTGAGGTAGGTGAAGTACAGAGAATTTTTTGGATAGAGAAACTATTCTCTGTATTTACTCAGTGTATCTGAATCCACAGCTAAATTCACCCCAAATTAGAGATAGGAAAACTCCTACGAAGGACTGTCCCAAACTGTCCCAAGATGGGGCTAGTTGGAATTCTAAAGAAAGGTGATCTGTTTAAAGCATTATCAGGGGAAGTTTACAGAGGAAAGGTGCTAATTTATATAAGTTGGAAAGAAATGGAGTCTGTAAGACTAAAGACAGAAAGACAAATACCACATGTTCTCACTAATATGAGGGACTAAAAAAAATTGAACTCATGGAGATAGATAGTAGAATGATAGTTCTACCAGAGGATGGAAAGGGTAGTGGGCAGAAGGGGATATAGTGGAGGTTGTTAATGTAGATAAAAATACAGTTAGATAGAATAAATAAGATCTAGTATTCAGTAGCACAATAGGGTGACTGCAGTTAACAATGCCTTATTGTATGTTTTATTTATTTTTAAAAAGTTAACTTTTTTTTTAAGTTCAGGGTACATGTGCCAGTTCATTATATAGGTAAACTTGTGTCACAGGTGATTGCTGTACAAATTATTTCATCACCCATGTATTAAGCTTAGTTCCCATTAGAGATTTTTTACTGATCCTCTTCCTCCTCCCATCCTCCACCCTTCAATATACCCAGTGTATGTTGTTCCCCTCTACGTATCCATGCATTCTCATCATTTAGCTCCCACCTATGAGTGAGAACATGTAGTATTTGGTTTTCTGTTCCTGCATTAGTTTGCTAAGGATAATGGCCTCCAGCTCCATCATGTTCCTGCAAAGGACAAAATTTTGTTCTTTTTTATGACTGCATAGTATTCCATGGTATAATTGTACCACATTTTCTTTATCCAGCCTGTCATTGATGGGCATTTAGGTTGATTCCATGCCTTTGCTGCTGTGAATAGTGCTGCAATCAACATATGTGTGCATTTGTCTCTATAATAAAACAATTTATATTCCTTTGGGTATATACCCAGTAATGGGATTGCTGGGTCAAATGATATTTCTGTTTCTAGGTCTTTGACAAATCCCCACACTGCCTTCCAAAATGGTTGAACTAATTTACACTCCTACTAACAGTGTATAAGCATTCCATTTTCTCCTCAACCTGGCCAGCATGTGTAATTTTATGAATTTTTATTAATAGCCATTCTGACTGAGGAGAGACAGTGTATCATTCTGGTTTTAATTTGCATTTATCTAATGTTCAGTGATGTTAAGCTTTTTTATCATATGCTTGCTAGCCATATGTATGCCATTTTTTGAAAAGTATCTGTTCAGGTCCTTTGCCCACCTTTTCTTGTTTTTTTTTTTTTTTGTAAATTTGTTTAAGTGCCTTACAAATTCTGGATATTAGACCTTTGTTAGATACACACTTTGCAAACATTTTCTCCCATTCTGTAGGTTTTCTGTTCACTCTGTTGATAGTTTCCTTTGCTGCGTAGAGGCTCTTTAGTTTAATTAGATCCCATTTGCCTATTTTTGGTTTTGTTGCAGTTGCTTTTGGCATGTTCATTATGAAATATTTGCCTGTTCCTATGTCCTGAGTGGTATTGCCTAGATTGTCTTCCAGGGTTTTTATGGTTTTGGGTTTTCCATCTAAGTCTTTAGTCTTTTTGTATATGGTGTAAGGAAGGGGTTCACTTTCAATCTTGTGCATATGGTTAGCCAGTTATTCCAGCACCATTTATTGAATAGGAAATCCTTTACCCATTGCTTGCTTTTGTCAGTTTTGTTAAAGGTCAGATGGTTTGTAGATGTGAGGTCTTATTTCTGGGTTATTTATTGTGTTCCTTGGTCTGTGTGTCTTTTTTTGTACCAGTACCATGTTCTTTTGGTTACTGTAGCCCTGTAGTATAGTTGGAAGTCAGGTAGCATGACGCTTCCTGCTTTGTTCTGTTTGTGTAGTTTTGCTTTGGCTATTTTGGCTTTTTTGGTTCCATATGAAATTTAAATAGTTCTTCTTAGTTCTGCGAAGAATCTTAATGGTATTTTAATAGTAATAGCACTGAATCTATAAATTGTTTTGGGCATTATGGGCATTTTAAAAATATTGACTCGTCCTATCCATGAACATGGAATTTTTTTTTTCATTTGTTTGTGTCATCTCTGATTTCTGTGAGCAGTGTTTTGCAGTTCTGCTTACAGAGGTCTTTCATGTCCCTGGTTAGCTGTATTCCTTGGTACTTTATTCTCTTCTGGCAATTGTGAGTGAGATTACATTCCTGATTTGGCTCTCAACGTCAACTGTTGTTGCTGTATACAAATGTTAGTGATTTTAGCACATTGATTTTGTATCCTGAGACTTTGGCAAAGTTGTTTATCAGCTTAAGAAGCTTT
The DNA here is from genome assembly GCF_000001405.40 of Homo sapiens. Taxonomy (NCBI): domain Eukaryota; kingdom Metazoa; phylum Chordata; class Mammalia; order Primates; family Hominidae; genus Homo; species Homo sapiens. Next base: position 48,396,218 of record NC_000006.12, read on the forward strand.
TGGGCTGAGACCATGGGGTTTTTCTAGATCATGTCATTTGCAAACAGAGATAGTTTTACATCCTGTGTTTCTCTTTGGGTGTCTTCCTTTCTTCCTTGCTTTCTTGCTTTCTTGCTTTTTATTTATTTCTTCCTTTCTTTGCATGATTGCCCTGGACAGTATTTGCAATACTATGTTGAATAAAAGTGAGGAGAGAGGGCATTCTTGCCTTGTGCCAGTTGTCAAGGGGAATGTTTCCAGCTTTTGCCCATTCAGTATGATGTTGGCTGTGTGTTTGCCATAGATGGTTCTTATTATTTTGAATTAAGAACATACATTTTCATTATTATTTGAAATACTTTAAATCATCAGGGAAAAATGGAAAGTTATATAATCATTTTATAAAGGCAGAATACATTTAATACCCAAATCCAATAAGACTGTCAAACAAGTTGTCATCCAATAAAAATATCACTCTATAAGTAGGATAACCTAAATAAATTCCTTGCAAAAGAATCAAATAATGAGACAAAAATACCTTACTAACATATAAGACTTGTTCTAGGAAGAAAGGATTTATTCAGTAACCAGAATGCTAATATAATTCATCATAATTACAAATTGAAGTTTTTTTCTGTAGATTATGTCAATAAAGTCAAGGTAACCCACAAGCCTTGCCAGGTTTATTACTAGAGGGTTCATCTGTTTATTAGACAAATTTTTTCTTATAAAGATATTATAATGGTCAGAACAAATGAGTATTATTGAGAATACTGCTAAAATTCATAATTATTGGTGGATTTCCACATGTTTGAAGATGCAAGCCATGTTTTCAAAATAAATGTATAATAATTTAAATCCCAAAAGTGATATATATTTTCTTTTGAAGCAGCAACGTTTAGTAGCTAGAATGGTAGGAATTGAAATCTAGTTCCTTTACTAACAATCTTTGTGAACCTATGCAAATTACTTAACCTGTCTGTCTCTGTTTCTCACATGTAATATAGTTTCTATCTCATAGGATTATTTATAAGCATTAAATAAATTAATATATGTAAAGATTTAGAATAGTGCCCAGTTTATAGCAAGTGAATACAAGTATTAGTATCACTAATATTAGCACTACCATTACCACTACTACTCCCACTATTATCAGTGATTCCAAATTGTGATCAAGTCCAGGTACCTTGGTATACAGAGGAGGCAATCAGCAACTAGTATAATTTAAAGAATAATATATACCTTAAAATATTCAATGTGTATGTTTTCTAAAAATTATTCATAATAAAGAATTGATCTAGGAATTATATATTGAAAATTTAAAAAAAGCAGTTTTTAGAAGGAATAAAAGGTGATTAGGCAAGCATCAAATTTAATTTAATTTAATTTAATGGCTTGCTAGCATTTAAATCCATAAGTCTGTGCTACCCAACTGGTCATTTTTTGGATATCCTGAAAAATTTGAATTTATGAATCCTATATATAATTTCAAACAGTATCCACCAAACTTGAACAAAAACTGCCCAATAGCCTTCATAAAGGTTCTCTTCTGCTGTTATCTTCATAAATAAATGTCAGCATTAAAAATGTGCATGCTGTTTGTTTAAATTGAATAATTCAAATAATACTGAATATTGTTAGGTTGACTATCATGGTAGCAGACATTAAAAAAGAATAGTAGCGTAGATGAGAAGAGTGGATGTGTTTCAGAATATAGCAAATCTCTAGAATTTTGAAGTAAAAAGAGATTGATATCTTATGTGATATAGGAGTTTGTCTTCAATCAACCAATCTCTTATCCACATTCTTTTCCTTCAGGAAAGTAAATTGATTGTCACTCACATTATATTATTCAAGGCTAATTTGACTCACTTAGTTGTACCTTGACAGCTAAATACCAGATATCTTACTCAGCATCCCTCTTTGACACTTCTTAATCACTTTAGTGCTCTTGCTAATGTTCCAACATGTCCTTTTCTCTTTTCTGGTTTTGCACATTATTGCTCTTTCAGTTTGTACAGTAGTTAGTCCAAGGGGTTTACTATTGATAGTACATTTTCTTTTTCTAGTTATATTTACCTCACCTGTCTAAAACACTGAATTTGAGTAAAAGTGATTGATTCTGTTTCCATTTTAAATTAATTAGGTAAAAAACAGAGAGAAATTCAAACAGGTAGGGCATTCAAAGGCTAAGGTTTCTCATTGTGAAAAAACTTGTATTTTCAAATATATGAGCATCTAAAAATCTCTGAACCCAATAGACACATTGTGTTTGTGTGTGTGTGATAGCTTTGTTGGGTCTTTTGACATTATCATGGAGTGAGATTTAGGAAGAAAACAAATCCAATCTTAGCCGTACCATTTACTAACTTACTAGATACTAGACACTTACTAGATACTAACATTACTTGCAGGACTGCTCTTAGGATTAATAAATGTGCTAAATATAATTACCTGGAACAATGGCATGTACCACATACACCCTAGGCTGCAGTTCCCTTTACCCTGCTTTATTACTTCCTATTCCTCCATCTACTCTAGTTTCACAAGCTCCAGAAAAATGTCATATTATCTTTTCTGCTCAGACCTAACTCCCATTCTTTTCTTTTATTGTTGTTGAATATTTATTCCCTTTATTCTTTTATTGTCAAGGTAATGACATCTCAGGAGGAAAAGGTGATAAATGATTATGCCTAATCTGTGATTTTGGATAAACTACTCCATGTTATTTTGTTATCATATAGAATACATTAAAGTAATCTTTGCTAAGTCTCTGAATGCAATGCATCTAATTTTTATAACAGCCCTATAAACTGCATATGATTCTCGTTTATAGTTAAAATTGAATTTTTAGGTGGTAAAATAATTTTGTTCACTAACTGAACTAATAAATTCAAGAATGAAGATTCAAGCTCACGCCTTTAACTGTGCAAAGTCAGTACTATTTTTGTCTTTTCAAACAGAGGGAACATCAATAGCTTAACTAGAATGCGAGATTATTTCAGCAATTAGTAAACTAATACAATAAAATGCATTTTTCAGAATACTAGTGCATTGTTTTGTACTTATCATAAAAGAAAACTTGTAAACGTATAAATCACTTGCAGAGTTATGTGAGGCTTTTTATTTATTTCAGCTCACCAGTGAGTTTCCCATTATTAAATCTGACAGTGAATTCTGTCTTTATTTTACTTGACCTAAAAGCAAAATTAGAAACATTTTATGATTCCCTTCACCAAGAAATGCTTTTGTTACTTGGGTTTTAAATGGTCACGTTCTCCTCATTTTCTTCCTTCCTTTCTTGCAGATACTTGTTCTCAGTTTCTATCAATATTGGAGGTCCTTAGGATTTAGTCTTTAGACCACTTCTCTTCTGTCTGTAATTATAATTCCTTTGGAGACTCCTATAATCTCCATAAATACCATATCTTGCTGATTATTTGCAAATATATTTCCTTGATTTCTCTCTTGAAATCCATACTTGTGTATCCTACTGCCTACTTGACATCTCCTCTTATTTCTAATAGAAAGTCTGTAGACATCTAGACATTTCAAAATTAAAATATTTAAGCCAAATCTTAAATCATATTCCCTGACCCTGTTTTACTTACAACTTTTTATGTTAATTGCTGGCAACTTTATTCACCAGTAGTTCCAGCCAAAAATATTTATTTCACCCACATGCTACATTTACTCCAGCAGAGTTAACTCTACCTTTAAAATATATCCAGAACCATCTACTAATTACCCTTCATTGCTCTATCTTAATTCCAAGCACTATAATATCTGGCATTAGCTATTGCCATAGACTCTCAACTGGTCTTCCAGCTCCCATTTTTGTCTCCCTAGAGTTTATTCTCAAAACATCCTATCAAAATGTGTATCGATTATGTCACACATCTCTGCGAAACCCCTCAATGAGATTCCGGTTGTTTTAGGGTAAATATGAAATCTCAATAATGGTATTGGCACCAGTGACAATTCACTGCTACCCTCTTCTTACTCACTCTGCTCCACCTTTGCTGCTCCTTAAGCTTGCCAGGCACACTTCATTCTTGGAGCTTTACATTGTGTTCTCTCTGCTTGGAAGAACTTTTCTTCACATATCTGCAGAATTTACTTCCTCCACTCCTTTGATTATGTGCTCAGATTTTTCTTTCTCAAAAATGCTACTCAGGTCATTTATCCACAATTTCAGCCTTTCCCATAGCTCTTCCACCTTACCCAATTTGGTGCCATTTTAATTTTTAACCTCCTATTGCACTACACAATATTTTTGTTTGTTTGTTTCTTGTCTTTCTAGCCCCACAAATATGTTAGCTTCATGAGGGCATGGATTTTTGCTCCCCATCTCCCATGAATACATTCTCAGTACTCAGAACAGTGCCTGGTTTATAGTAGAATCTTAAACGGTATTTCTTAAATGAATGAATGAATTAACACCATGATGGGACTCCAGGTTTTTGAAATAGTGGCCAATTGGAGCCAACAGCCATGAACACATGAGGAACAATGACTTGAAATATCTTCCTTTATTCAAACAAGACTGTCTTTAACACATAGGAATCAATTCCTCAAACTTTTTTTTTCTTAAAATCACTCTCAAATATTGGACAATTGTAAACATTCCAGTCGCCATGACAGTGAATATTCAACAAAGACCCTCTGTTAAATACATTAAAGTAGTTTCAAAAGCAATAAAGTTGAAAGCATGCAAGACAACAAGTAAAATAATAGAAAAAACACATTTGCTGGCTTAAACTAGTGAAAAAATATTGGACATGATCATTTTTTCGCTCTTATCTCATAAAAAATGACTAGTGTCTTGAGAATATAAAAAACTTCAAAATAGGTCAACAAGTTCAGTGCCCTTCAAGCCATTCTTTAGCTAATGCTCCAGCCCTTAAAACTGTCTGTTCAGATTGCAACTTTTAGAGGCACTAACATCTGTCTGCCTAATACGTCCCCCAACTCCAGCAGGTGAGCCAACTTCCTAAATAGCAAGCCTTGCTCTAAAGAACAGAAGTTGTATCCCCCGGGATGTTCTTTTGGCAGGGCTAGTGGGCTGTTCTCAGCAATTTTCCCAACTTCCATTTCACACTTCCTTAGTTCTGAAAAGAAAAAAAGGTGGGGGGAAGCAACTAACAACTTCAACGTTTTTTTTGAAGCAAAATAGAAAATGTCATAGCATTCAGTGGCTATAAAATAAATTTGTAAGAGCTCTCTTACTAGCTTATTGTGACAAATTATCTAAGATGATACCACTTGTGTTCTATATATGGTTAAGTACTTTCAGCTCTCCTTAAGGTTTAGGTACCTTAAAAAGTGTTCCTATTTTCAGCTTAGAGTTGATTCAAAGTTGTTTTGGAGAATCTGGTTTTGCTTGGATGAACTCTGAGAATTTTATTCAAATAGAGACTAGGTGTCTTCCTGATGTTGCTTGATGTATTTTAGAAGGATAATTTGCATATGTTGTTGAAACTAATCCTGCATTTAACTTATATTTCTTCCAAAGTTCTTTGGTAAATGTTGAGAAATAATGATGTTAATTTTTTTGTTTTCTTTGTGAAGACACTAAATCATTTAATGGTCACCAAAATTAGTCTTCTTAGTTAAATTGGTAGGTTAGGCAGCAACAACTAAGAAGAAAACAATGAGTACAATTAGGTTTTAGGTTTGACACTGGCAGAAGAGTATACTTTTGTGAAAGTTTCATAGTTACAATTATCTTATAAAATGTGCATTTTCATTATTAATTTGTATTAGTCCATTCTCACACTGCTGTAAAGAAATACTGAAGACTGGGTAAATTGTAAAGAAAAGAGGTTTCATTGGCTCATGGTTCTGCAGGCTAGACAGAAAGCATGGCTAGGGAGGCCTTAGGAAACTTACAATCTTGACAAAGGTGAAGGGGGAAGCAGGCATTCTTCACATGGCCAGAGGAGGATAGAAGTGTAGGAAGGGGTAGTGCTACACACTTTTAAACAACCAGATCTTGTGATTAACTCATTCACTATCATGAGAACAGCAGTAAAGGGGAAATCTGGCCCCATGATCCAATCATCTCTCACCTGTCCCCACCTCCAACACTGGGAATTACAATTTGACATGAGATTTGGGCAGGGATGCAGACCCAAACTATATTGTAATTCAAATGCTCCAAGTACACTAAATCTCTTTCTTTCTCTTCTATTAAATTGTCTTAGTTTCTCATATGAGGGCAAAATAAACTTCTTGGGTCTGTAGATAGTATGTATTAGCCATATCATTTAATAAATATTGCTAATTAAACTAAGAAATTACATTGAAAGAAGGGTAATTATCCAGCATTTTAGAATTAGAGAATCTGTGCTTTTCTTATATTCCAAAAATATTTCCCAAAAACATCTTTGTTGGAAATCTTAAATAGTTATTGTTCTGGGAAATATATTTTAGAAGTAAAATATTCTTGAAATGAAAAGCTATATAAGTTATAGTCAAAGTAATTCTTTCTATCATAAATATATATCCAGTTAATCACTCATTATGAGATAATTATTCATCTTCTTGAGGGGTTTTAGTCTTTAATCTTTAGAGTGGTCTTGAGAAAGCTCATAAGGTCTTTGATAAGTTAATGGAAAATAATGCTAAGATTCAATACTGATAAAATAAAGTGTCTTTCTTCACAGAGAGAAGTCAAGACTATTAGGTTTTATAGGCTATATGTTCTATCTCTATAGTATCTATCTATCTATCTATCTATCTATCTATCTATCTATCGATCTATCTATCTATCTACCTACCTACCTACCTATATGTATATCAACCAGGGTAGCTTCTCGAGAAGGCTAGCTGAAATAATAACACTTTCAACAACTGAAATATTTTTTTAAAAACTTCTCCCCGAAGTGTTATTAGTCAAAATATAAATTTTCATTTCATTTTTCAAAATGATTATTATTTCTTCCTGTGAATAATTGAAGGATTTTTAAAATGTAAAAAATATAGGTATTAATAATTAAAGCTAAGGAAATATGGCCAAAGTAGGGAAAATAATAATTTTGACTAGCTGGGGCTAAGAAAGAATCTTTGAAAGTGATCAACGCTTCTGATTCAGCAGGTTTTTTTTTTTAATATAAATGAACTAAGCTTATCTAGTCTACTAGTCCAAAGACATCAACATTCCATTCCCGCAATCAAGTATGTGTATGTGTGAGAAAGACAGAGAGATAGAGACAGACACAGAGAGATGGGGAGGTAATGGACTGAAGGAGAGGGAAAATTTAAAAAAAGATGAGACTTATAAACTGAGAATTATTAAAAAAAAGTTTCAATATTGAATTTGCCTCATTTCTTTATTCTACTTTTTTATTCAATAATGTATGTGTAGCTCTCTCTTATCTTTTGAACAAACTATACTCAAACTTAAGTGGGTAAGAAAAAATTAGTAAAGTCAACCTCTTACCAGAAGTCTTTACCATCTATCATAAGATCCACCATCTAAGATGAAATAAAATTTATACTAGTTAGATTTTTTCTGAAGAGATCAACTTGGCTTCTTCAGTACAGAACACGTATTGGCCACAAATCTTAGGTTGGTGCAAAAGTACTTGCGGTTTTTGCCATTGAAAGTAAAAGAAAGAAGACCAAGTCATCCTTTTGAGACAATAACCTTATTCTTTAGTCGAATGCCTTCCAAAGTATTATCTCAAATGATATTCATGGGGTTTACTGAAAAGAAAAACATTATAATTCAGGTAGTGGTCCAACAATACAACCTCACTTTGGGGTAATCCTACAATATTTACAGGTTAACGCCAGCTTGCTAACAGTAGGGAAAATATGCATTTCAGCTAAGAAAATGAATTGCCATAACATTCTGAAATGATGGGCTTACATCAGTAGAAAACAGATGATGTAAACGGAGATAAAAGCAACTAAATGTGAGTTGCTGATTACTCACGCTGCATGTTTGCTTCTTTCCCATCCCTGTTTCCTTCTGTGTGGATAATGCCTCACCTTTTTTGTCCTCTACACTTGTCTGTACCACCTAACTCATTATGCCTCTGGGAAGTGGGCTGGTTTATCTGACTGATGAAACTGACCAGAAAAATCTGGACTTCCTCAATTGAGCTCAGCTCTTACATTTCCTTTCTTGTGAACTGCATGTGCCCAACAGCAGGAATTCTTCTTTCCTCATGTAGTAAGTCCTACCCTAGTACGCTTCCCCACTATTGGGAGGAAAAGCCTGCACTAGCCCAGCACTGCCTATGACTGGCTGGGAAGATAAGTTGACTTCCAGACTTCAGATAGAGAACTCAATTGGAGCTTTTATTTAGTCTTTTTCAGTATTTTAGGTAATATTTTTATCAGCCTTATTTTATAATAATAAAAAGTTATATAAGTATCATTTACCTAAAATAAACAATCACTAAAGTATATGTGTGTGTTTTGACCAATGTGTATAGTTGTTTAACTAACACAATTACCATATATAACATTTGCATTAACCCAAAAAGTTCTCTCATAGCCCTGTATAATCAATAGATTTCCTGTAATCCTTGCTCCTATCAGTGACTGATCTTATTTTTTCCCTCTTTTTTTGACATTTTCAGAATTTCACATAAATGGAATCACACAATGTATCGTCTTTTTGTGTCTGATTTATTTCCTTTAGTATAATGCTTCTGAGGTACATCCATGTTGTTATTTTTATTAATAGTTCCTTCCTTTGTGTCTAAATACCAGTTGGATATCTGAGTTGCTTCCAGGATGTGCGTTTTTGAATAAATATTTAATAATAAGACTTTGCATAAATATGTTATTCATTTCTGTTGAGTAAACATATGGAAGTGGTATTTTTGAATCCTAAGATAAGTTTATGTTTTACTTTAGTAGAATCTGCCAAACTGTTTGCTAAAGTGGTTGTACCATTTTCCATTCCCACAATCAAGCTGTCTTCATATCTTCACCAACACTTAATATTATCAGTCCTTCTAATTTTTTGGTATTCATTTTGATTTTAATTTTAAATTTTTTACTGACTACTGACCTTGACTCTCTTTTCATATATTTATTTACAATTTATGTATACCTTTTGGTGAAATATCTATTCAAAATTATCTTCATTTGTTTAATAGAGTTCTTTGCTTTTTATTTTTAAGTTATAGGACAATATATTCTGGATATAAATTCTTGGTCATGTACATGTTTTGAAAACATTCTCTCTCTGTGTTGCTGCCAATTCATTTTTTAATGATGACTTTTAAAAGGTAACATATTTATTTTGATCTTCAGTTTATAAATTTTTTATAATTGGCTATTTTGTGTTTTTATTAAAAATCAGTTGAACATCTATTTTGGATATATTTCTGAAACATAGTTCTGGCCTATTTATATATCTATCCTTATTCACATAACATAGCCTTGGTTATTGTATCTATAGAGTGAGTATTGAAATAAGGTAGTGTGTCCTTTACCTTTTTCTTTAAGAAAATTGTTTTGGCTATTCTAAATTTTCAAACCAGTTTATTCATTTCTAAAATCAATTGCTGAAATTTTAATTGGTACTATATTAAATCTATAGATGAATTTGGAGAGAATTAGCATCTTAACAAGGTTCATTCTTTTGCTACTTGAACATAGTATATCTTTTCGTTATTTATGAACCTTGGACATAGTATCTATCTCCATTCTCGCTAAAATGTTTTATAGTTTTCAGTTTATAGGTCCTGTACATATTTTGCTAAGCTTATCTCTGCGTATTTTATTTTTTGATCTTGTCAGAAATGTATTTTAAGTGTCAAGCTCCAAATGTTTATGGCTGGTATATAGGAATATAATTGGTTTTGGTTTATTGAAATCTATGAACTTGCCAATACCACTTTAGTGTTAATAGCTTTTTTGTAAATTCCTTAAGATTTTTTGGATAGACAATCATATCACCTGCAAATAAAAATAATTTATTATTTTATTTACAAGACGTATGCCTTTTAATTATATTTTCATTTTTCTCTAGCTAGGAATCCAGGCAAATAATGAATAAAAATATGAGATCAGATTTCCTTATCACATTAAAAGGTCCCCTTCAATTAGCAGTTTGCTGAGGGATTTTACCTGATTAGTTGATGGGTTTTCCTGAAATCCCTCTCCTGCATCAATTAAGATAATTGTAAGGTTTTCCCTTTTTTAATCTGTTGACATTGCAAATTACATTGCTTGATTTTTTTAAAGTATTAAACCAGTTTTGCATTCCTGATATAAGCCCCACTTGTTCTTTTGTGTCTATATTTCTGGATTTAATTTTCTAAAATCTTAAAATGCATTATGTATGGCAAGTATGGATATGGGATCAAAGAATATTGGTTGGTAATTTTCTGTTCTTATAATATCTTTGAATAGTCTTAATATTAGTGTAATCCCAGCTTCATAAAAGGAAATGGGAAGTGTTTCCACTAGTGTTTTCTGAAAGACTCTGTAGAATTGGTATAATTTTGTTTTCTTAAATGTTTGGTAAAATGTATCATTGAGGGCCAGGCGCAGTGGCTCATGCCTGTAATCCCAGCCCTTTGGGAGGCCGAGGCCAGTGGATCACGAGGTCAGGAGATGAAGACCACCCTGGCTAACACGGTGAAACCCCATCTCTACTAAAAATACAAAAAATTCACCAGGCATGGTTGCGGGTGCCTGTAGTCCCAGCTACTCAGGACACTGAGGCAGGAGAATGGCATGAACCCGAGAGGTGGAGCTTGCAGTGAGCCAAGATTGCACGACTGCACTCCAGCCTGGGCAACAGAGCACGACTCTGTCTCAAAAAAAAAAAAACAAAAAAATCATCAATGAGGCTCTCTGGGCCTGGGGTTTTCTTTGTAGGAAAGTTCAAAACTAAAAATTCAATTTGTAAATACATATCAAACTACTTAGGCTATCTATTTATTCTAGAGTGAGATTGGATCCTTTGTATTTTTCAAAGAAACTATTCCTTCAAAGTTATTCAACTCTGACATAAAGTTGTTATAATATTCATCTTGTTAGCTACTAACATTTACAGGATCAGAAGTTACACCCCATCATTAATGTTTCTGTCTTCCTTTTCCTGCTCTCATTTTAATTCTCTGAAAAAGTTAGCTTTTAGTTTTGTTTTTAACATTGTTGTAAATTTTCTATTCCACTTAGTTCTTCTCTTTATTTTCTCCATAGAATTATTTCAAGTTATGGGTAATTTGGTGTTCTTAAAGTAAAAGTATAGATCCTTTATTTGAGGCCCTTCTTTTCTGTAATATAAACATTAAATGCTAGATATAACATTAACATTAAATGTTCTCTCTAAGTCTGCTGTTAATTCAATCGAGTAAATTTCTCTCTTCAGATATATTAATCTCTATAAATCTTATTTGTGTCTTTTAAAAACATTTTGTGTCTTTCCTCATTGTGCTCTGGCTTTCTTCTACCATCTTAAACATATGAAATATTTATCAAAGCTCTTTAATTGTCCTTGTCTACTCTCATCATCTATTGTTTCTGGGATTATTTTTATTAATTGATTTTTCTGCTAACTATAGATCATATTTTCTTGCATCATTGAATGATTGGCAATTTCAGATTGGATACTGAACATTGTGAATTTACATTTTTGGTTGTTAGATTTTTTTGCTGAAATACAGTTAAATTATTTGAAATCAGTTGTGTATTTATACAACTGCTTTTCTAAAAGCTTTGTTATGGTTGGACCTCTAATCTAGGGCCATGTATGCATGCTATTAAGGAGATAAACTTCTGGAGATCTTACTTGATGCTCCATATTTTGCAGTATCTTTCCATTCCGTTGGTGGAAAGATAAACCCTTTACAGCCCCTTTGAAGTCCATGCATTGTTGCCTACTTTTTTCTCATGGTTTTCTTCCTGATATATTCTCTAAACCTAGGTAGTTATTTTTTATGCAAGCTCAGATTGTTGCTCAGCCGAAAACTCAAAAATGCCCCTCTCAATCTCTGGACCTCTCTGTGTGCACAGTTCTTGGTTTTTGGTACCCTTTTCCCAAATTCTATCTTCCTCAAACTCTAATCTTTTTCTTCTTAATATAATTAGACTGCAAGGCTATGTTTGGGCCTCCCATGGTTTTGCTGCAAACTTGAAAAATGATTCAGAGAAGCATGCGGTGAATTTGTCAGGTCTACCTTGTTTCTTTTTATTCCAGGAGTCACATCCTAAGCTGCCCACTATCCAATATCTGAACCATGTTGTTTCACATATTTTCTAAGTTTTATCGTTGTTTATGATGGGAGGGCAAGTTCTGTCCCTGGTACTCCCTTTTGGCCAAAAGCAGCAGTTTCCAAAGATGCTATTTTTATCTGCCATCTACCTGATTCATTGCCTAACATCGCAAAATTTTTCAGAAGTAGGTGGGAAATATCGCTGTTTTATTTTTGCTTTTTACCCAAAGAATTCAATAATGTCTCTTGAATTAAAAAAATTTTTTTAAATATTTTGAGAAATTTTCATTATAAAGCTAGTTAAAAATTAGAGAACTTTAGTCACACAGTGGCAATTTGTGATACCTAAAACTTACCCAGAGAGATCATGAATATAATTCATTATTCTTCCTTAATGAACAATTAGTTAACAGAAAATTAGTCAACAGAAGATACCTTACAAATATGCTCTCTCTGTCTCTCTCTCTCTCTCTATATATATAAACACATATATATGTGTGTGTGTGTGTGTGTGTGCGTGTGTTCCAAAAAAATTATTCTTAGTCTCTCAAATAATTTGTATTGCAAAAAGTATTTTGGAATAAGTCTAGATGTACATAAGTTAATATATATATATAATTTTAAATATAAGAGACTGAGAGGTTGCTTAAAGCTAGATGTTGTCTTTAAACTTGAAAATATAAGCATTATGAGAGTCTAAAAAAGAAAAAAATATAAATTAGTAAATTCGGATTTTAATTGGAGTTATTTTTATTTTTTTATTTGTTATTGAGAAAAAGCAACAGTGTTTTATCTGCTTTTGCTGCAAACAACCTCAAAAGTTAGGAACTTAAAATCATAGCCATTTATTTGCTCATATGTTTATGTCTTGGAATATGGAGTGGACTATGGTAGGCTTACTCGTACAGTCATACGTGAGGTCGCCTGGGGCATGATTGGTTTTGAAGGGCCTTGGCTGGGAAACCTAGTTTCTGTTCCACTTGATTTTTTAACATCCTATTGTGGTCTTTCCCCATGGGGCATGGTCTCTAAGAAAGCAAAAGAGACAGAACTTGAGTGTATGAACACATATCAGGCCTTTGTTTTGTGTCAATTTTACAGATGTTCCAACGGGTAAACAACTTACCTGACCCACCTCAAACTTGGGGCAAGAGGGAAGATATATTACACCCTTTAGGACAAGCTACAAAATTTTGTTCCCATTTTTGTAATCTATCACATAAGGCATACTGTGGTTCTTCCTCTTAAAATTCTTTTATGGCTTACTGTGACTTTCAGGATGAAGATTAACTTCTCTAAGATTGCATTCAAGGCTATTCATAGGCTTGATACTGATCATTAATCTCTTATACATGGACCAAACTCCTCAAGTCATTTTTCATTCAATACATTAATTAGGTCCATAGTTAAGAAGGGGATGACTCGGTGTGGTGGCTCACACCTGTAATCCCAGCACTTCGGGAGGCCAAGGCTGGTGGATGACTTGAGACCAGGAGGTGGAGACCAGCCTGGGCAATATGGCAAAACCCTGTCACTACAAAAATTACAAAAATTAGCTGGGCTTGGTGGTGCACACCTGTAGTCCCAGCTATTTGAGGGGCTGAGGTGGGAGGATTGCTTGAGCCTGGGACATCATGCCTGCAGTGAGCTCTCCAGTCTGGGCGACAAAGCGAGACCCTGTTTCTAAAACGAAAAAAAAAAAAAAAGAAGGAGAATTTGATTGTAGGAAGACTCGTTTTCATGGAGACTACATGTGTTTGGGGTAAAAAATTAACTAACTGTTGTAAAGTCATCTTTATCAACACTTTTGGAATGCATTTGATGATGATTCATTTAGTTCTATCAGCCAGATTCAAGCTTTGGGTACTTTAAATCTGAGAGATATATAATTAGAAAATGTAACATTTCAGAAAATTATTTTTTAGAGCCATAACTGCTCTTAGATATGCCCACAAATCCTGTAGGGTTGGTATAATATGGACTATGGATATTAACAATCAAAAAATAAAACCTAGAAATAAAAACTTTTTATTTAAATAATTATTTAATTATTAAATTATTGCATTGCTGCAATAATTTGAACATTTACAGTATGTAAAATATTATATTAAATATATAACTTACATTAGTTTATTAATGTTCATAGCAATCATTGAGTGTAAGTGTTGCGTGCCTGTTTTCAGATGAAGACACTAAGAATCAGGGATGTTATCTAAAGTTATACAAATACTAAGTTAGTATAACAATTTGTTATATTGAGATAACCATCTGTTTAACTTTAGGTAACATTCCTGGGGATAAAACCTAGGCCTGATTCTGTAGTATCCGCTGATAACCACTAATTTATAATACCTTTCTGCTCCCTTCCTTTTGGGTTGTATTAGTTTTTTCTTGCTATGTAACAAATTGCCACAACTGTTTTCCTGGTTTAGAAGTCTGGACACAGATCAGATGAGTTCTCTGCTCATGGTCTCACAAAGGTGTAATCAAATTATTGGCCAGAGCTGTAATCTCACCTGAAGTTCAGGATCTTCCTCCAAGCTATACTCACATATGTGCATTAAAAACAATAAACTAATTTTATTGCAGCATTATTACTAATGTCAAAAGATTGGAAAGGTTGGGTTCAGTGACTCATGCCTGTAATCCCAGCAGTTTGGGAGGACGAGGCGGGTGGGTCACCTGAGGTAGGGAGTTCAAGACCAGCCTGACCAACATGGAGAAACTCTGTCTCTACTAACAATACAAAATTAGTTGGATGTGGTGGTGCATGCCTGTAATCCCAGCTACTCGGGAGGCTGAGGCAGGAGAATCACTTGAACCTGGGAGGCGGAGGTTGTGGTGAGCCGCGATCGTGTCATTGTGCTCCAGCCTGGGCAACAAGAGTGAGACTCTGTTTAAAAAGAAAAAAAAAAAAAAGACTGGGAACAAGTTAAAAGTAGTTAACAAGGTACTGTTTCAATGACGTATAGTACCTGTCTGTATACAATGGGATGTAGTACGTCTGCTAAAATCACAAGAGAGATCAATATGTGGTAGTGTGAAAAAAGTTTATAAATTATGAATTGTTAATTGGAAAAGGTAAACTTATGGCATAGCATTATGTCATGTATTTGTAGGCATAGTACAATTTTTTACAAGTACAAATGGGAAACTTAACAGTAGTTGCTTTACTGAAGGTAACTTGGAGTCTGAAGTAGGAGGGACATTTATATTTTACTATATATCTTTTTCATTCTGTTTATACTCTTTACCAAGTATATATGTTACATGACTTTTAAAATAAAAATTATTGGCCGGGCGCGGTGGCTCACGCCTGTAATCCCAGCACTTTGGGAGGCCGAGGCGGGTGGATCATGAGGTCAGGAGATCGAGACCATCCTGGCTAACAAGGTGAAACCCCGTCTCTACTAAAAATACAAAAAATTAGCCGGGCGCGGTGGCGGGCGCCTGTAGTCCCAGCTACTCGGGAGGCTGAGGCAGGAGAATGGCGTGAACCCGGGAAGCGGAACTTGCAGTGAGCCGAGATTGCGACAGAGCGAGACTCCGTCTCAAAAAAAAAAAAAAAAAATTATTTAGTATGAGAAAACTGTACTTTAAAATAAAAATAAATGTTTTCAAAGAGCATTCAAACAGTGCCTGCAGGGGTGGAGAAGGGCGGTCAATTCAAAATATCCATACCACAGAACAGACAAAAACACTCATTATAAGCAATGTGTAAATAACTCATAATGAGGTTTCAGGGGAGGTAGAATTCATTATCTCCCATAGTCAGGGATTCCGGGACGGCATTCTGAAGATGGCTCTTTAGGTGAGTTTTCATGTTGGAGACAGGGGAGGAGACCAGGAAGTGGAAACACTAGGAGGAGTGGAGATGATGAAACAAATGAGGGCCATAGAACATGAAGTTATGGATTAGGACACAAATGCCAGTTGATAGAACTCCTTTTCCCTCTGTGCAAACATTAATATTCCTTTGGAATGATTTGCTTATGATGTTTAGATCAGATTGGTGGGGAACATTAGAAACATGAGAAAAGGTAGAAAATGTGCAATGAATCAGACTTTCATATAAGACCACTAGCTAGCAACTAAGAATTTTGACAGAACAGGGCAGATACCTCGAGTAAGATGAAGCTTTAAAATAGCCAAGAGGAGCACTAAATGAGAATGCAAGGGGAATCTATAATCAAATTGTTTCTAAGTTATAACCCCTTGCCTGGGACATGGCCCAGGTTCAGAGTTCAGTTTACCTCATTAACCACTTGGTTAGTGATTTAATTGCTAGCCCTCTGAGACCAGTGCTTTAGAGTGAAAGGGAAAATCTAGACCTCCACAACAGCGCCTTCAAAGGGAGAACTGCTTTTCCATTAATTCAACAGAAAAAATTGGTAATCAGTAGAAATGTCCCAAGGCTATCAATGCAGCTGTTTTCTACTCAGTCTTGGAAGGACTGCTGACTCCATGACTGTTATCTTTGTTTAAGTTGTTCTTTTGAGAGTACTAAGGCAAACACATGAGCCTCTGGGATTCATTTCAATGCAAGTTAGCACACAGATGCTGAGAACATTCCTGTACAACACAGGAGAAATGGAAGACAGAGTCTACAACATACTCTAAAAGCTACAAATAAGATCAAGTCCAACAAATACTGTGAGGGCCGAGCAGGATGGCTCATGCCTCTAATTCCAGCACTTTGGGAGGTCGAGATGGGGTGATCGCTTGAGCTCAGGAGTTCAAGACCAGCCCAGGCAACATGGCAAAACCCTGTTTCTACCAAAAAATACAAAAATCACAAGACGTGATGGTGCATGCCTATAGTCCCAGCTATTCTGGAGGCTGAGGTGGGAGGATTGCTTGAGCCTGGGAGGTGGAAACTGCAGTGACCTGAGATCGTGCCACTGAACTCCAACCTGGGCAACATAGTAAGAAACTGTCTCAAAAAGAAAAAAAAAAGGATTAAATATATATATATATATATATATATATATATATATATATATATATATAATTATACCTTCAAGCATACACTTAGTAACAGATATCCTTAAAACATGAGGCTAGGCTTATATTTAGATGTGACAAAATATGAAAAATTTCACAAATAGATGAACTGTTTTTGCATAATCAATCTTGTCAAAAAAGAGGAACTCACGATATGCTATTAATTATTTAAAGGTATGAATCTGATTATCGAACCACATTTTAAAGTTTCAATGGAAATAAGTATAATAAATTCTTGCAGTGTTTACATCTGTGGTTGAAATTCAGTTCTTTGTTTCATCTTTCATTAAATTTTCCTCCTGAGGCTGGCATGTAAACTGGGACTTAGCTTCTTGCCTCTTAAGAGGAGAACGCTTAATGTGGTAAAGTAAAACTTCACAGCTTTCTTAAAATCCCATAAAAACATTAATTTGAAGCCAAGATCAAATATCACAGCTGTGGTAGATTAAAGATGGTTATAAATTATTTGCTACTCCTTGCATTAAGAAGTAGAGTTCAATTCCCCTCTTTTTGGATCTGCGCTGATTTAGCGACATGCTTGACTAATAGTATATGGCAGAAGTGACATTGTGGTGCTATCAAGGTCATGTTTTAAGAAGCTTCTGGTTTCTGCCCAGGCCTCAAGGATTACTCTCTTTTAGAGCCCTGAGAGACCTTAGTGTTAGAGCACTATGCTAAAGAAGGCACATACATGTTCTCCATGTGACAGTCAAAATTTATTCTAGCCTTGCAGCCTCTTCACCAAGGTGTCAGACCGATCTGTGAAGCCATCTTGGATTCCCATGCCAACTTATCAACCAGTTGAATACGACTGGGTCACTTTAACTGATGCAGAAATATCGCTTTAGTTGTATGGTGCCTGGATTCCTAATCCAAAAAATCTTAAGATGTAACACAAGAATTGTTTTAAGCCACTGAATTTTGGGATAGTTTGTTATGCAACAATAGATAATTTAGACAATGGCTATAATGTCTCTGTGTCCTCGTAGTTACACATTTACCTATGATAATTGTCTACCAATGTGGAAAAATTATATTACTGTTCAGGTTGCTGGGAAAAATTGTAAGGTGAATTAAAATTAGCTATGTTATTTTCTCATTTCTTGATGTCCACGTCTTTCAGAAGCCAATGTCATCATATTACTTACCTGCTCATAAAATCTCTGAGACCAGCCATTTCCGTTAAAATGTAATGGGGTATTTGAGTTTTTTTCTACAAGACGCATTTTCCCTTTGAACTTATCTTTTATTTAGGGAATCAAAGAAAAATTTCCCAAGAAGGAAATTTTAGGAACTGGCTGACAAATAATTTCAAAGGAAAGATTTACCCAATAATTATTAGAGAGAACTTGGTGCTGACATCTTATGCCATGACACACCTCCAATTCAATTTCCATTCTAGGGGGCTTTGATTCATCTTGTGCTGCCAATGTTTCACCTGAAATTTCACCACTGTCTTTTCTCATTTGGCCTCAAAGTCTTTCATAACATGGCATATTGCTGCCCATAAATGCTAGAATATTACAGAAGTACAGGACAGTTCATGCTTTCAAGAATAATCCTTGAACAATTAGGACCAGAGATGAAATAAATGTTACAGCCTTCTATTCATGTGAACAATTTTGAGTAGCATTCCATACATTTCTCAGAAATCCTGGAAAACTCCTCTCTTTCTCTCTCTCTCTCCCCCTTTCTCTCTCTTTCTCATTATGACTTTTCCTTTTGTCCTTTCTTATTCTCTCATATCCTTATTCTTGCTTCCTGAGAACTCATTCCAAATAACCTTCCTGCACCCATGTCTTTGCCTCTGCTTTGTTTGGGAGGGAAATACAAACTAAGACAGTGTTTCAACATTACATTACTTAGAAGATATTATATATTCCATTTATGCTAAAGCCCAGTCTTCCTACTAATCCAGTATTCATAGGGCTTACAGCAGATATATTTTTCAGGTAAAATGAAACATTTTTCATGTAATGATGAATAATTCTTCCTGACTTCAAATGACAAGACACCTGCATTTCAAATTTCTTGCTGAGGTGAAGACAGCAATATATGCATTTACACTATAATTGACTAAGTATAAGATGTCAGTCTCATTAACACCTCCTTGCAAATAACTGAAGTAAGAAGTCTGGATATATAACTCCTACTGATGTGGTTCAAAATGTAGTTTTTTGGTACGGGCTACCACTAAGCTTAATAGAGAGATTAGGGGGACTATCATTCAAATGTCAGTATGGACTTAAGCTAACACTGATAGAAAATTATATTCCAAAATTTAATTTAAAAATTAACTAATAATAAAGCATTATGTAATTGCATTAGTCAACAAGCACACTAAAATCTGGCCCCCAACTTACTCAGTTTTAAAGATTTCACTTCAGCCAAGGTCAAATAGTATGAAATCCAGTCTAAGACCAAATTAAAGTCACCTGTTTGTTCAGGGTTAGTATACTAACTTAATTAATAGCAAGACAGAGCAGAACAATTATTCTGACACAACAAAAATAAGGACTAACTAAATTCTGAATTTTGTAGCATGCATCAAATTAATTAAAAATGGTTGGAAAAAATGGCAAATATCTCTTTCTGGCAAGGAGTAGGCAAATGCCAACTTATAAAAGAAGCACATGGTCAGCTTACAACTGATTTGCTGAGCAGAAAACCCCTTAAAGCTTGAACTCTTTCAAATATAAAGGAAAATTCTTAAATACAAATATATACCAGAAATTTCTGTAAACATAACGAATTTGTTCTGAACTATGGTCAAAAGTGATCTTGTATTACTTTTGAAATCAAACTTCCCTGGCACCACATATTTATTCAGCTTGATAAATAACTTCATCCGAGTGCTTTAGAGATGTGCTGTGGACATTATAGTCACATTAAAATTCCACCATCTTTTGGATACACACCCAGCAGTGGGATTACTGGATTATGTGGTGTGATATTTTGATCTTTTTGAGGAAACTTCATGCTGTTTTTCATAATGGCTGTACTGATTTACATTCCCCCCAACAGTATAGAGGGTTTACATTCCCACCAGTAGTATAGAGGGTTTCCTTTATCCTTTATACTATTGGTGTGAATGTAAATCAGTACATCAGTACATCCTCACCAACACTTGTTATCTTTTGTCTTTTTGATAATAGCCATTCTAACGGGTGTGGGGTGATATCTGCACTCTTAGGTTTATGGCAGCATTATTCACAATGGTCAAGATATGGAATCAACCTAAATCTCAGTCAATGGATGAATGAATAAAGACAATGTATTATATATGTACAATGGAATGCTATTTGACCATATAAAAGAAGAAAATTCTGCCATTTACAACAACATGGATGAACCTGGAGAACATTATGTTAAATGAAATAAGCCACACACAGAAGGACAAATAATGCATTATCTCACTCAGATGTGAAATTTTAAAAAGTTGATCTCCCACAAAGCTAGAGAATAGAATGGTGGTTACTGTGGGCTGGGATCATGGGAGTGGAGACATTGAGGAAATGTTGGCCACAGGATACAAAATTTCAGTTAGATAGGAAAAGTAAGTTCAAGAGATATATTGTACAACAGGGTGACTATAGTTCATAACAATATATTGTATTCTTTTATCCCAGGCCCTAAAGTGTCATTTCACTGTTCTCTCTTTAGGCTTAGTCCAGGCCTTGAAATTATATTGTGTTCTTGAAAAATGTGGAGACAGTGGATGTTAAGTATTCTCACAACAAAATTGATAACTGTGAAGTAACTCATGTTAATTAGCTAGATGTAGTCATTACACAATGCATATATATTTTAAAACATCATGTTGTACATGATAAATACATATAATTTCATCTGCCAATTAAAACTTTTTTTAATTCCCTTGGCCTTCAAGAAAAAATAAGAAACTCAAGCCACAGCTACAGAAAGAAGTTAGAGGTTTTTTTTGTTTGTTTGTTTTTGTTTTTTAACTGTGGCTCTTATTGTGCTACACAAAGAATTAGTTCTCTTATGACAGCAAAATATCCTGTGATGCTCTCTGCGGAACATTCGATTGTAGAAAGCACTGGAACAAAATGTACATTTGCCTGTGTGAGTTTGTGTGGTAAGCGAAAGGGACAGGGAGGAGGTGGAGAGAGGGTAATTGATATTTGAGGAACTATTACAAGGTCTCAAGGACACTATATTAATTACTTAATATACTTATCAAAGCAACACTGAGATAGCTTTTTTAAATCTCAGTTTCACTGAAGAAAAAACAGATTCATCAAGATTTAGAAACAATAAAAGTAACAAAGCTCATACATTATAAAAGCAAGATTCAAATTCAAATGTTTTCTAGATTCTAAATTATTGTTCTTTAATGCATAGCACACTACCTCTATTGAATTAAGGCAAATTAGCTTCCATATGACAGATATTTTCAGCTGCATGGCACCATTTCCGTAAGGCAAATATTTTTAGCTGAGCTGCATTTCTTTATAAATTAATAGGCATTATCTATATTCTAAAGAAGTATATGGAAAATTCAGCTGGGAAGAGGAAAAATGCTCTTCTTTTTTATTCTGAAATTTCAATATTCACATCTGTCTAATGACATAATATTGCAAGAAGAAAATGGAGTAAATTAGCAGTAAGTGAGAAGATTTGAGAGAGTAGGGGCAGGAGCTGGGCAAAGATACTCCATCTTGTCTTCCCCTTGATTAAATTGTAAATTCCCTAGAGGTCTCTCGAATCTTTATGCAGTACTAGAAGACTGACATCATGTTCAGCAAACAAGCTTGTTGCTGTTATTTACAGATAATGAAGGGCATTTCTCATGCAACGGGGTAGATACTATGCCTCGAAAAAGCTTTCTAATGAGACAGGAAGTTTGAGTTTCCCCTTGCGTATTTTCTCCAATGTTCTGCATATACTATATGATATGTAAATGTATACATAGTACAGTTACTACATGATCTTTTGTCAAACTAATTTGTTTGCCTCTGGCTTGTTTTCTTTGCTCTGCCCTTAAAAGTGAGATTCTAATTTACTGCCTTTTCTCCTGCCACTGGCCCAGGTGTACTAGTTTCCTATTGCAACATAACAGATGATCAGCCATAAGCTTAGAAGCTTAACACGCTTTTTTGATCTCACAGTTTCTGTGAGTCAGGAATCCAGGCAAAGCTTAACTGCGTTCTTTACTTCAGGATCCCTCACAAAATTAGAATCAAGGTGTTGCCCAGGGATGAGGTCTTGTCTGAAGACTCAACTGAGAATGATACATTTCCAAAAATATATCATTTTTGGCAGAACTCATTTCTTATAAATTGGGCTGAGGGCCTCAGTTCGTCAGTTCTTAGCTGGCTCTTGTCTCAAAGCTGATGTCAGTTCTTGCCACAAAGGTCTCTTTAATGCAGTGGCTTGCTTCACCAAAGTGTGCAACCTGAGATAATCACAGAGAGAGAATGTTGGTAAGATAATTTAAGGCAGGATGTGATAAGCACCAAATATGTGATAGGCATGCACACACACACACACACAAACACACACACACACACACATACATACACAGAGTCAGAATTCCAAGATTGGAGATATCACAGGTGCTGGGGAATTCACAGAATGGTTTATATAGCAGGTAGGACTTCAATCTGATATTGAATATATGTAGATAACATCAAATATGGAAAGCAAAGCCATGTACTCAGCCAGAGGTAGCTGCAAAGACAAAAGTATAATTGTATGGATTCAAATGGCATATTCTGAGGAAATGTGGAGCACTGGACTACTTGAAGAAAATGAACTGTTTTGAGAAGTAATGAAAATTGATTATGTTACACACAGCTTTTAATATGCCATACTGCTTTAAATACTTTACCTGTGTTAGCTCATTTAATTCTAGTAATAACCTTTTGAGATAGACAATATTATTATTCCCAGTTGGTAAATCAGAATATTAGATCCTAGAAGTTCTTGATAAACTTACACAGCTATCAAACAAAAGAGACTGAATTCAACCAGGTATTCTGACTCCATAACTCATGCTCATAAAGTAGGTTAAAGCTAGTTTATGCATTTTCATAAATGCAGAATCTCTGTAATTTTCTCTGACTTTGCTGCTTATAATTATGGGGCCATAGAGAAATCACAGCCATCAGTTTTATATTCTTCAAAATAAGAAGTTTAAGATAAATAATCTTAAACTTTTCCTAAACTTGAAAACTCTATGGTTCCAATATTTTAAAAATAGATTTTAGCCTACACGAAGCCAGCAATTACAGAAGTTTTTTGGCAGAAAAGAGTCATGAACCAAGGAATATTTTAGGAAACTATTCTGGTAGGAAGTGCTATATAGTCTGGATTAAAGACAGGCTATAGTCAGATGAACAGGTGAAAAACATTGCTTTAGGCCAAGTCGTCACAGACTTCCAGTGTGGTAGCTGAAAGAATAAAGAGATATGTTAATGAATCACAGAGGACAAAGTTAAAGAATTTACTGAAAGGCAATTGTGGTGATGTGGGAATCCCGTGACAGTGGCAACCAGATTTGGGTTTAATTCTGGGGTCAGACACTTAACTGTGATGCAGGGAAAGTTACTTATATTCTCTAAGCTTCAGCAAGATGGAGATAAGAAAACAGTATTAGGGTAGCATAGGTATGAAGCAATAATATTTCTCAGCAAGCAATAACTTGGTACAATGCACTTTTATTCCTCTTACACTCAAAATCTGCTCAAGTTCCATAAAACACTCCAGATAGTGGTCTCTATGTGGTGATTAGTGATCCAAGCTACTTTGATCTCGTGGTTCCACATCTCAACCCAAAATCCCCTAGTAACCACAACAGAGGAAGAAAGAGCAGACAAATTCTTCAGTGTTTTTACCAGTTCTTCTTTTTAGGCATTTCCACTGACTGTACACTGGCCAGTAACATATGATTCTGCCTAACATGAGGGTGTTGGAAGTCTAGTATTCTTTATGCTCAGGAATGAGAAGAAAATAAATATTGGTAAACATTAGTGATGTCTACAAAAAACACCCAATTTATCTTAGCATAGTATGCACAGCGCATGATCGGTATCCTTGGTGATATCTTTCACTTTACTCTTCTTGACAGAATTGGGTAGAGTAGGGTTAGGGAATAAAGAAAGAAAAGTTAAAAATACTCCCAAATACTTAAAGGTATCTTTTTTCCTTTTCAGTCTGTCACCTTCTTCCTCTTTCTCTCCCTTTCTTGTGCATATGTGTGCACACACACACACAGAGGTGCATGCGCACACACACACACACACACACACACAAAGGCATACATACACACACAGAGGTGCTCACACACATACACAGGCATGCATGCACACATGCATGTACACACCACGACTTAGAGAGCACAGATATTTCCTAAGTACACTAAATCAATCTGATTTCTCAAATTTCAGCTAAATGTCCATGAATCAAATTAAGATTTGTGGAAGTGATAAATCAACTAGACTTCACAGGTCAGTCCTGAAGTTAACATTTCTATGATGTTTCATTCTTTGTTCTGATATTTCAGGCAGTCTGAAAACCTGAATTTAGGTCTGGGCTTGCTATATATACATCATTTCTAACATTCCAGATCTATGTGTCTCAGTTATAGAGTGGTTGTTATTTTATGTGGGATAATTTCTTCTTGTGCTGGAATGTATTATACATTTCAATATTTTATCATCTTTGATCCCTGCCTCTAAATTTTTTAAACCCTCTTAATGATTGTGACAAATAAATTTGTTATACGTGTTTTCAAATGTCCCTGATTTTTGAGTACTCTTTTACTTGTAAAACACTTTCTAGGACTATGAATTAGACTCTTCATACATCACATACTTTATTAATAAAATGGTTAGTCATGGTGTAGAAAAGAAATAAGAATATCTAAGAAATATTTGATATCATAGTCTTAACGCTCAGCCTTCTTTTAACTAAATAGGGCAAGAGACTGTTCCCTTACAATCAAGAAGAGAAAGACTACTATGATTGTAGTATATGTCATCTTTTAGAATGTATCATAGATATGTCATGACATCTTTTAGAATGTATTACAGATATATTATGCCATCTTTTAGAATTTATCATAGATATATAATGTTTTGGAATACTTTATGATTTCTTTTTTATTTTCTGTTGCCCAGGCTGGAATGCAGTGGCGTGATGTCAGCTCACTACAACCTCTGCCTCCTGGGTTCAAGTGATTCTCCTGCCTCAGCTTCCCGAGTAGCTGGGACTATAGGCACCCACCACCATGCCCAGCTAATTTTTATATTTTTAATAGAGATGGGGTTTCGTCATGTTGGCCAGGCTGGTCTTGAATGCCTGACCTCGTGGTCTGCCCTCCTTGGCCTCCGAAAGTGCTGGGATTACAGGCATGAACCACCACGCCCGGCCACTTTATGATTTCTTAATTTACTTCTTTAACAGATATTTGTTGACATTTTGTCTCCTGACAGATACTAAATAACAAAGATGAAAAGCATAACAATCATCCATGATAGTAGAAAAGCTTTCTTTGAACATACGTGCAATCTGAGACAGAAAGAGTGCTGAGATTAAAATGTTAAGCCTTAAACTATACTACAAGTTACTGAAGTTGTCTGAGTTACTTGAAAATTATCAGGTTTTATATTTGTTGCATCAAACACAATGTTGTCTAATGTAGTAAGAAAACCTAGTTACAGAAATAAAAGAGTAAAATTATTGCACATGAATTATGAATGGTTTCTGTTTTTGTTAATAGACTTTACTTTATAGAATAGCTTTAGGTTCACAGCAAAATTGAGAGGATGGTACAGAGATGTGCCCTATATCCCTGCCCCAACACAGGCATAGCCTCCTCCCTTATTAACATCTACTGCTGGAGTGATACAGTTGTTATAATATAAACCTACATTGATATGTCATTATCACCCGAAGTCCATAGTTTACATTAGGGCTCACTCTTACGTTGAGAATTCTATAGGTTTGGACAAATACATATGGACATGAATCCACCATTATAGGCTCATACAAAATAGTTTTGTTACGGGGTCTCTGGGGTGTTGATTTTTCTGACTGGAAACCTCTGTGGCTGCGGCACCTTTGCCCAAGTTCTTGCCCTGGATCCAAGAAGAATGAGGTATGCAGACAAGTGAAGGGTGAATAAGCATTTTATTTAACAGCTCAGAGGAGTGGGTAACTCCTCACTGTAGGCAGGTCATCAAGTCGAGTGTTCAGTTCTCAGCAGAGAGGAGACCCTGGAGAGGGTAGCTCCTCTCTGCAGGCAAGTTACTCCAACGTCTTTGCAGGTCTCTGAAGCTCTCAGCAGAGAGGGTAGCTCCTCTCTGCCAGCAGGTCATCTCTGCAGCTCTCAGTGCAGAGGGTACTCCTCTCTGCAGCTGATCATCCCATCATCTCCAGCTCAGCAGAGAGAGTATACCTCTCTGCAGTGGGTTGTCCCATTGTCATCTCTCTGCCCTTTCCATTCTCTGTCCATCCTCTACCCTGCTCTGGCGGAGCCCAGGGCTTTTATGGACCTCAGAAGGGAGGAAGTCTGTGCTGATTGGTCCATGGGCGGCCATAGGCTGCTCAGAAGAAGCACCACTAGTTCACACTCCAGTCCAGGGGACTGGTAGCTTGGCCCCCAGCCTTCAGGCCCTCCCTGGCCCTAATGTGGGGCCTTACTGGGGATCCACCCCCTTCTACCCAGGACTCTGGAATTTTGCCTTTTCCAGAGAGTCATATAATTAGAATCATACATAGAAACAAGCATTTAAGGCCAGGCATGGTGGCTCACACCTATAATCCCAGCACTTTGGGAGGCCGAGGCAGGTGGATCACTTGAGGTCAGAAGTTCAAGACCAGCCTGGCCAACATGGTGAAACCCCGTCTGTACTAAAAATACAAAAATTAGCCAGGCATGGTGGCACATGCTCGTAGTCCCAGCTACTCTATTTGGGAGGCTGAGGCAAGAGAATTGCTTGAACCCAGGAGGCATAGGTTGCAGTGACCCGAGATTGTGCCACTGCACTCCAGCCTGGGTAACAGAGCCAGACTCCATCTCAAAAATAAATAAATAAATAAATAAAAAATAATAAGATATAAGCATTTAAGTTTCCTATGTCTTTCCACAGCTTGATGACACATTTCTTTTTAGCACTGAGTAATAATCCACTGTCTGAAGGTATCACATTTTATTTATGCATTTACTTGCTAAAAATACCTTAGTTGTTTCCAAGTTTAGATAATTATGAATAAAACTGCTATAAACATCTATGTGCTGTATTTGTGTGGACATAAGTTTTTAGCTACTTTTAATAATTATCAAGAAGTGCAATTGATGGACTGTATGGTAAAGGTATGTTTAGTTTTGTAAGAACCTGCCAAATTGTTTTTCAAAGTGGCTGTACCATTTTCCATTCCTCGTTGAGAGGCCTTGTTGCTCCATGTCTTCATCATCATTTAGTGTGGTCAGCATTTTGGATGTTGACCATTCAAGTAAGTGTGTTTTAATGATAGAAGAGTTTTTTACTATTAAATTTATTCCCACTCCATGGAATTATGTATTGTCTGATTCTGTGTTTCTTGAGAAAGCTTTTGATTGTTTAGCATCCCTTGAAACCTGCAAATAAGGAGGACTAAAAAGGTAGGTTAATGAGTATTTACTGTATTTGATCATTATTTTCTTTTTTTACAGCATTATGCATTTACATTCCTTTGTTATACATTGGTTTTTCTAAAGTTTTCTTAGTGTGAGTCATCATTTTTTAGTCTCATTAATTCTGGGATCCTAAAGAAATTGCTTTTCTGGGCCAGTGACATTGAGAAACAGATATCAGACTGTGATGAAGTCAGCAGAGAGATGTACCTTGTGAAGTATACATCCTCTCCTTGCAAAGCCATGGCCTGCCTGCAGGATTTTTCTTTTCTTATTTTATTTCTAATTTAGTTCAGATTTGTTGGGAGATCTATAACACAATGTATCTAACAGCTGACTGAACGGGCTAATTGAACATCTACAGGCATGTGAAATCCCTGTCCAAAAGGGACTCATCTCTTTTTTTCCCTAGGGTTGGCTGTTTGTTCCCTAGTATCAATTGTATTAGTTATGACTCCATTCTCTAGACATCTATAGCAGACATTTGAGAATCAATCTAGTCTTTTCTAATATCTAATCAGTTAGTTAATTAATCCATCAATAATGTGCTGCTGAATCTACTGTTAACCATATTTAGACCATCCCCCCCTTTACTACCTCTCTGCTATGAGTATTATAATTCAGGCTATCACTATTGTTACTACTGGGGACCATGAGCTGCCATACTGGCTTCCCTCTAATTCACCCTTCTCACAAAGGACAAAGTAATTTAAAACAAAACACAAAAACAGGATATTGTCCAGCTTATAATATCTCAATAATTCTTAAAGCTG
The DNA here is from genome assembly GCF_000001405.40 of Homo sapiens. Classification (NCBI taxonomy): domain Eukaryota; kingdom Metazoa; phylum Chordata; class Mammalia; order Primates; family Hominidae; genus Homo; species Homo sapiens. Next base: position 48,424,807 of record NC_000006.12, read on the forward strand.
TCAGCAAAAAAAATTTAAACATATGAATTTAGCACTTAAGGCCCTTCATAATCTAACTGCTGCCTTCCTTTCCTGCCTCAGTTTCTGCCATTCTCTCAGCACAACTCTTCTTTACCTGCCTGGATCTGATGCCTGCATCCCGTGTTTTTGTAATGGGCCTTATCTTAGCCCATTTTGTGTTGCTGTAACAGACTATGACAAACTGGGAGACTTAAAAAGAGGATAAGTTTATTTCACAGTTCTGAAAGCAAGAAAGTCAGATATCAAGGCGCTGGCATCTGGCAAGAATCTTCTTTCTGTGCTTTCCCATGAAAGAAGGCAAGACAATGAGAGAGGACAAGACAAAGAGGAAGGGGGCAGAATTCTTTATTTTTATTTTTATTTTTATTTTTTTAATCAGAAATCCACTCCAACCATGAGGACATTAATTTATTCATGAGGGTAGAACCCTCATGACCTAATCACTTCTTAAAAGTCCTTTCCCTTAACATTGTATCATTGGGGATTAAGTTTCCGACACATAAACTTTGGGGAACACATTCAAACCTTCAAACTATAGCAGACCCCATAGTGTCAATGGTCTTCATCTCCACGCTGCTTGTCTAGTTTATGAATTCTGAATTCCGAAACATTTATTTTTCAAACTGTGGAACCCACATGGAGACCAAATAAAACTCTGTCAGCCATCTTATGGGATGATTACAGGAATTCTTACATGCTCCATCTTGCCTACTTCAGAGTGCACACAATTCTATGAAGTTTCCTCAGGAAGTCATTGCCACCTTCCCCTGGGTTGAAGGATAAAGAGGTCAAATGGAATGTCTAAACACCCAAAAAGCCTGGAGATTTCAGATTGGACACTCAGCTCCCCAAGAAACTAAAAATAAGATGCATTTTAAGATATAGCTAATTTTTAGCTTATTTGTTTTGCATTGACTTGCAATAAAATAAAATAAAAACAAAAATAAAAACATATACTTGTATATATTTTAGTATTTTAAGAAACTTAAGCATGCCAGTTGTTTAAAGAATTATTTGATTATTGTGTGGCACCTTTCAGTGTAGAGTCCTGAAAGATTACCCACTGTAAGGCAGAAAAGGCAAATCTGAAATGTTTTTATAGTTTTGACTAGATGGTTTATTAGAATAAAGATGAAGAAACATTCCAATAAAATGATTCATATCAAAATTTTCACAATCCACATTGTCTGAAGTTCTGTTTTGTTTGTTTGTTTGTTTGTTTTATATCATAAAGATACATGAACATCATCTGAAAATCCTGGAAAAAAGGCTTTTATAACATTATGTAATCCTATAGTGTAAAGGCATAGACCTTTTAACTACATAGAAATCAGCAGTGTGTTTTTGTGTGCTCAATTGTGTATGTATGCAGACTCAATTCTACTTGTATGTTAGCTTTGTGAAAGAAACAGCCTTTGATTATGAGTTTATATCCTGGCTCAATTATTGACCAGATGAATGACTTTGGAGAATGCTAGTAGTCTTTCTGAATTCCCCCTTATTTTGTATTTATGAATGAGATCTCTCACCTTGTATGGAAGCTCCCTGCCGGAGGTTCTTTGTGATGTTCCGTGATGCATTCTAGAATAGTGTCTGGCATATAGTAGGTGCTTAATAATTATTTACTGAAGAAATGTAGGGATGAATTATAAAATAGCTATAGGTTCTAATGGGCATGTATAGTAGGCCTTTAAACTCTAAATTTTGTAATGCTGGCCACCTCAAAATTTCCTTGGGTTCTTTATTTATGGAGAGAGTTTCAGTTACTACACAGGGACTAGGGTTCATGGGTAACTTCACCCCCACCCCCATGACTATGCTCTTGAAGAAGGAAGCAGATAAATTTTCCAAAGTCATCACCATAATTTAGTGGAGTGGAAATGCCTTTGTAGTGTAAGTATTTCTGAAGGCTTTATTAGGTTTATTCCTAATTGACTTCCTTTTTGTGCCCACTTATTAGTCATGGTGGTCCTATCCTCTGGTTATGTCCAGCTAATTGCTCAACTCCTAAACTTCTGACTCATTTGTTCCAAGTATCGTGACCACAGGCAGATCTCTGTCAGGATTTTGAGCAACTCTTTGTAACTACAGTCGAAAGTTTCACAGATGGACCACCACAGAAATATTCTTCATAGAATCATTACTAAAGATGATTAAGAAATGAGGCTATTATCCCTACCCTTCGCTCTGCAAGAAAACTTGTGCTCTGTGAACCTGGAAGCATTTTCTCAAATGTAACATTCAACTGGGGGCTCCCTGAAATCCCTCACTGACAGACCATAAAAGTGTTTTTTCTAAGATATCTGGGGACAAATTGACCACTCCAATTATCCATTGTTCCCTAAGGCACTAAGAACACATTATACAAATAAAGTAAAGTTACCATGTAATAATATAAGAAGCAGACAGAAATAAAATAGTTGAGAACATACACAGTCAATAATGGTAGTGAGTCAACGGATTCTGGAAAAGGTGAAAACATGACATGTAATCGTTAAGAGAAACCTTAGGTGTCCACTATTTCCAAAATGCTTTTTAAATTTAACAGTCACTGCATGTTCCTAACCATCGACTCTATTTACATAAACATAAACACAGCCATTAATGGGCCTCTGTGGGACTTCAAAATCAACTATTTGAGAGTCTAGAAATATGCATTTTATTTTCATGGTGCTGTTTTAATTCCTTCTGCAGCTTTTGGTTTATAGTTACATTTTATTTATTTTATTATGAACAGTAGGTTCACTGTATTGTAGATGTTTGTGCTTTTGTGTACAATGGTAAAAATGAAACTGCTTTTTCTGCTAAAGACATATATTTTCCAGTATGTTCTGACCTAGCAAAGAGGGGATAGTGTCATACAGCTGTCATCCACAGAGATGCTAAGAATATATTTTGAAAACATTGCAGTATGATCCTTCTGATGGTGAGAAAAGAGCTACCAGTAAAGGTGAGATAAGTAAAAAGGATGCCTTATTGCCCTTGTACGATACATATGTTGATGAAGTGAGCCAATATCCTTCCCCTGTAGCTGTAAGCCAGTGACTGAGAATAAGAGCCCTGCAACAGATGATTGGCTTATTTTGTAGCCTATTTTGGGGACAGTTATTAGGACAATTTCAGGGCTCGACTATTCTAAAAGAAGTTATTTCATATGTAAGTATATTTAGTACGTAAGTTATTTAGTATGTAAGTGTGGATGAAAGAAGTTATTTAGTAGTAAGTGTGGATGAATCAAACTGACTACAGCATGGAATTAAGACCCAAAGAGATAAGGCTTTCTGTTTGTTTCAGGGAAAACTAAGGAAGAAGCCTGTCAGAGTAGTAAAAAAGAAAGAGACCAAAGTAATGTATGAAAGTAAAAGTTCTCTGGTAATAGTCCAAAGTAGCGAAGCTCAGCAGTAACAATTTATGAGTTGAATATTTCCGAAGATGTCATTGAATTCTGTATTTTTGTTTACATAAAACAGACTTGGGAAGTATAAAATAGACTTGAAAAAATTTCCCTTTAGGTTTACTGCAGATCAAAATATATGATTTTTCAATTATACCTTGGACTTTAATACTGAGTCTTTATTAAGTCCTAAGAATAAAGAGCCCTAAAAATTGATATCTAAGTATCTCTGAGCTTTGTAGGAAATGAATATGCTACAGCACATTTTTAAGTCATGCGTTTAAGGTATGACAGAATGGCACAAGCTGGTAGAGATCTAATGGGAAGGAAATTCAGTTCTTGTTTATTCATAGAAGTAGGACTGTAATCGAAGTTGACATAGTGCTGTGCAGCACACTTGCCCTTCTGAGATATTTAACACTTACACATTCTACACACATACACACACACACACACACTACATATACAATAAACCTGTGAAGTAATAACACACACACACACACACACACACACACACACATACTACATATACAATAAACCTGTGAAGTAAGAAAGGGCAAGTTTTTTTCTTACCTTTGGGCACTGGGGGCCAGTATTCCTCTGTGACTTGCCCGAGGCACACGTTGTATATACAGTGAGGCCAATATTTGAACCCAGATGCATCTTCATCCAAACTCCAGAATTTTCTACCACCCTCCACTGTCTTTCATATAAAGTTGGGGCAAATATGTATGTCATTAGGCTAAGTGCCTTAGCCATGTTTTAAAGAGAACACACCCAGCGTGTCAGGAAACTCCTGAAGTGGGGCTAACCTGTATCCTATTTCAGGCATCATGTTGGGTCCCTTCCAAGAGAGTAACAGCATCAATGGCACATTTTCAGTAAGTGGCTGCTTGCTGTAGACTGAAAGACTCATGTGACTACTTCAGCTAAAGTATCCACACTATGTTGGATACTGTTTCAGTGCTTAGCAATAAATAACTCCTTTCATAACAAAGTTTATAGTCTAATGTCTATATGCTGCACAGGCTTTGGCACTGTGTGATTTAATTGTTACCACTACAATGGGGACAGTGTAGTTGTCCTCATTGCATGGTGAGGAAATCAGAAGTGTGGAGAAACTGCCCCAGAGCCTGGTTTCCCTAGTTCACCACCCAGAAGGCTGCTCCTGAATTGTTCTAAGGGGTATTTCTTCATATTGAGGGTCTTTCTTCCCCATCTCCATGGTTGTATTCATATTTAGTTCTCTCACTTTTCTAAAAGTCTCTTTTCTCTTCCTCTCTACCTGTGGAAACCCTACTGTCCCTCTAAAGCTTGGTTTAAAATTCCTTCCTTTTCAAATACTGAAGTATTCACTCTACATTGATCTTTTATGTTTCTTTTTACTTGAAAAACTCACAGGATTTGGTGTTTAGGGCTCAATTTTTTAAAGAAAATTACTGTTTTCACATATTAATTATTTTTGTTTTACTCCTCTTCTAAAACAAATTATAAAATCTCTGAAGGACAAAGTACATCCTTGCCAAGTGCTGAATTGCTGTACATGTCAAAGTCAACAAATGGATGATTGCTTTTACATTATTTGCATGCTTTATCTATTTGAGAGAGACACATTGTTGAATTATTCACTGTGCTTATCACATAGAAGTTGCTTAATAGTTACTATTTGAATTAAATGAAATTTATGTTTTCTAGTTACTTAATATTAGTTTCATGATATTTAGGAAGCTATCTTCAAGTCTCCAAATAGATCTACTGTTAAGCTTCATTACTTTATGCATCTTTTATGTAGCATGAAAAGCTATATAAAAATAGAAATTTGGTGTCATAGTGGTGTAATAATAAAAATCACTGTCCTGCTGATTAAGTATTAATTTTTCTTTACTAGGGAGTAGGATGTAGTAAAATCACATTCTGTCTATTTTTCAAAATACTTCCTTTCTCCTCCAGTTGTACAAATTATATTATTATAGTCTTAATTTGATGATTTAAGATCTAGCAATAAAATTTAAAAACATGCTATATTCATTTGTATCATAATTTAAAAGAATACAAAATATCTTCTTGCTGCTCTAGCCATGAAATAATACTAAATCAAAGAAAATACAGTCAAAAATGCCCATTAGCACATAGTGTTATCTTCTTTGTCACCATAAAAATATTCACTGTAATACATTCTCTAATGTGATGAGGAAATGAGTCAGCAGTCTTACACAGAGGGAGATGTCCCAGGTCTACTTTTGTTGATTTACTGTCAGCTTCTATTTGAATTAGACTTTGGGCCAAATACAAAGCAGAACCTAATTCATTCCCCTAATGATCATTTCTAGGATCTCTAGCAGGCTGTTTACTGCTCAGGGCAAGAGAAGACAGATGAAACAGAAAAATGGCACAAAGGACCCTGTAACACACACACACACACACACACACACACACACACACACACACAAAGACACTGAAAGCCTGAAGATTCCAGGAGTATATTTAACTATTTTTGGAGGTGTAAAGTCCAGCAGAACTGAATAATGTAAGGAAAGAAAGAGAACACATGCAAAGGTAGTTCCATTAGATGATCCTAGGCTGTCAAATGCACTATTTGCTGCCCACTCTCTGTCCTTATCATAGAAGGAAGTAGAGACAAGTAGAGTCAAGCTAAGGGTGGCACGCTTTATTTCCCAATGAGGACCACAGTAATATTGCCAGCTTCACATGTTCTTCTATATTTTTGCCAGTCTCCTGCAGTATATGAAATCTATTTCTTCTCCCTTAAAACTGGACAGAATTTTGTAGCTGCCTCAGTAATAATAATGAAGCTCATGTGAGTCTGCCTAACTTCCAAGGATTGATCATAAAACGGGATAGGACGCCCATCTGGATTGTTCTCTCTCTCTCTCTTCTCTCTTCTCTCTTTCTGAGCTTTAGAGCTCAGTCATTATCTTGTGAGGAAGTCCAAGATGGCTCCCATGAAGAGATTCAAGTGGAGACAAACCGAGACCACATCCAAAGACATCAACCGTCAGACATGAGTGAATGAGCTTCAAAAGAGTCTAGCCTTCAGCCTTACAGTCTTCCAGCTGAAGTCACAGATAATGGGAAGCAGAGAAAAGCCATCTCTACTGATCCGTCCAAATTCTGATCTACAAAGGATAGCATAAGTGGTTGTATTGTTCCTCTACATTTTAGAGTAGTTTATGGAGTCACAGTGACTGAAACAGATGTTGGTACCTGGAAGCACATTATTGTAGTAACAAAACTCAAACATTTACCATTGGAAGCATATGATGGGTGGAAGCTGAAACGAGGAGAATGTTTGTAAAAATTGAAAGGGCCCCTGCCATGGTCTGAATGTTTGTGTTCAAACAAAATTCATATGTTGAAATCCTAATCCCTAACTGGTGGTATTAGGAAGTGGGGCCTTTAGGAGGTGATGAGATCCTGAGGGCAGAGCCTTCATGAGAGGAAATAGAGCTTCTATAAAAGTAGGCCCAAGAAAGACCCCTCACCCCTTCTGACAATGTGAAGAGACAGCAAGCAGGCATCATCTCTGAACCAGGGAACAGGCCCTCCACCAGACACCAAATCTGGGGGTGCCCTGATCCTAGAGTTCTCAGCCTCCAGAACTGCAAGAAATACATTTCTGTTGTTTATAAGCTACCCAGTTTATGGTATTATTCTGTTACAGCAACTCAAATGGATTAAAACAACTTCAAAGTGATTGTTAGGAGAAGTCATACGGCTTTCAAGAAGCCTGTTAGGGGATTCTTAGAAGAAAGTAGGAAAAAATATAACAGCAGGATGGAGGAAGAGGGGCTTTTCTTCCATAGCAGTGAGAAGTTTATTTGTTTGTCATAATGTGGAAAATAGAAACTGTACCTAGTAAATTGATGAATCTAGAGAAGGAGATTTTTGGGCAGAATTTAGAAGAGTCTTCTGGCTTCTTCTCAATGACTATGATAAAATGAGAGTGGAGGTGAACTAAAAATATTGTCCAGTCTTCAACTAATTTACAGTACCTACAAGGGAGCAAGAACATACTGGGTTTGAAAATAAATCATTCTTATACTCTGCTCTTCAAGATTCTCAAATTAAGAAAAGCCTTCATGGCAAAGATAAAATCTATGATGTGGCTCTAAAATCTTTTGTTAAGAACTCAGAAAGCTATAAAGCAATGCCTGAGAGAGCCATTCTGCCAGACTATGCCCCTCTAAGAATCTTCCAGGCAGTCCTCACAATACTTCTCTAAGAATCTTAAAAACCAAGTCCCATAGCAGTATCACAGGAATCCCAAGGTATAGAAAGTCTTTTGTATAATGAAATGTATTATACATTGATTCCTAAGAAGCTGTTAACATTTTTAAAAGAATTATATCACCTTGAATTGAAAGGGACAGATACACAATGAAAAAGAGGTCTCATGGCCACCAAACTTCAATAGTTAGTAAATGGTTAGGAAACTACCCAGCTTCAAACACTGGCCATTTCTTGTGGGAACAGAATAACAAAAGATAAATCAAAGAGCCCAAAAGGCAGAGGCAATAGACCCTGTAGGAAATAAGACTGAAGCCCAATTAAGGAACTGGCACTATGAGTATGACTGAATTTCATATCTACTATGAACCAAGGGCTACTGTGTGTATTCCATTTTTCCTCTTTCTAAACAGAGGCCTCTATAATAGTTGGCTATTGAATGCCTGTTCAATTACTGTAGACTGGCTGTATGAGTGGAAGATCATTGTTTTTTTAGATACACACTGTATTAGTCAATTTTCATGCTGCTAACAAAGACATACCAGAGACTGGGTAATTTATAAAGAAAAAGAGATTTGATGGACTCACACTTCCACATGGCTGGGGAGGCCTCACAATCATGGCAGAAGGCATGTCTTACATGGCCACAGGAAAGAAGGAATGAGAACCAACCAAAAGCAGAAACCCCTTATAAAACCATCGGATCTTGTGAGACTTATTCACTACCATAAGAACAGTATTGAGGAAAGTACCCCCATGATTCAATTATCTCCCACCAGGTCCCTCCCACAACACATGGGAATTATAGGAGCCACAATTTAAGATGAGATTTGGGTGGGGACACAGCCAAACCATAACACATACTGTCAGAATTGAGTAACCGTACTTGAAGAACTGCAACTGAGAAGGTGTTTTTGGACTTGGACCTGGTTTGTATGACAAAATGAATCACTATCCTGAGTTGGATGCCACAGTAAAGTGGTATATTGAGGGGCTTGAGGTAGGGAATGATTGGCTATGTCCCCACAGGTTGATAAATTTACAGAGAAAACCCCAAACTTCTGCATTTATGACATAACTCTTATTTATTAGTATGTACTGACAACCAGGAGTCACTAGCCATTTGAGGAAAGTGAGTAGCCCAAAGAGAAAGGTAGGAAGAGCAAATATCCATGAACACTTGAGGAAAATAATAATTAATATAAATGAAGAGAAAAACATCAAGAAAACAATGAGTAGAGGGCTCACATAATAGGCATTTCAGAAAGAGAATAGAAAATATAGATGGTAAGAAATAATCCAGAAATATTAGAATGTAAATCCTCAGAGAGGGGTTTATAAGGATAAAAGCCAGAAAATGTTTAAAAGACTCACACATAGAAATATTGCCATACAATTTTTATATTTTCAGACAAAAGTGAAAACCCAAAGGATTCTGGGAAAGAGGAGCAGGGACTAGGATACCATTCAATGGAAAACACCCAATTGGTACCAAGCATCCCTGCAGGAGCACTGGGTGCTGGAAGACATTACAGCAATGACTTTAGTACTAGAGTCCTATAGCCGATGAAATATACAAATGCTAACAAGAGAAAATTAACATAGAGATAGATGATAGAGACAGATATAAGAAAGATAGGAGGATATATATAAATATAGACATAAATATTAATATGTAAGTACTCCGTAAACATCCTTTGAACATTCTCTTAAAAAATAAGTACAGTATTATTCTACAATTTGAAAAGAAGGATGTATTATTCTACAATTATACATTCTCTTAAAAAATAAGTATAGTATTATTCTACAACTTGAAAAGAAGGATACTGCAACATTCCAGATAAAGTGGAAAACAAAATTCTAGCTTAGAAAAGCAAAATGAAAGTGTACCAAATATGTGTATGAGACCACCAATTTGATTTATTGTAGGGGACCACAGGATTTTAATAATGTCTTTGAGAAGTTAGAGAATGGCGTCTATCATAAAACATTGTTAAGAAATTGGATGATAATAATAAAATGAAGGCATATTCCTCACTTATTAAAGTAAAATGAAGGTATCCAAACTTCAGAGAAAAAAAATATTGAATAAACAACTGGTTCATCAGGAGGCAGAAGTTGCAGTGAGCTGAGATCACGCCGCTGCACTCCAGCCTGGGTGACAGAGCAAGACTGTCTCAAAAAACAAAAAAAAACTGTGGTTCAAATATGAAAAAAAAAAAGAACTGCAGCATGATTGTAACCACTTGATAAGATGTAAGAAATTTAAATAGCATTTGTTGTAGATGTAGGAAATATTCTTAATTAAATGGCACAGGTTTAGAGATGTAGAAAATATATTCTTATCTGTAACTATAATTTCCATATGTACAGGTACAATTATTCATTCTACAGTGAAAATGGTTATACAATTATGATGTTATAATTGTCATTAATAGTTTTTATATTTTTAAAATAATTGTAAAATGAATTCAGGAGATTTTTAGTTATATAACAAATTAAAAAGTGATTATATATATAAAATATATATAATCACATTTATATATTATTTATTTATTTATTTATTTTTGGAGACGGAGTCTCTCTCTGTAGCCCAGGCTGGAGTGCAGTGACACCATCTCAGCTCACTGAAAACTCTGCCTCCCAGGTCCCGGTTCAAGAGATTCTCCTGCCTCAGCCTCCCAAGTAGCTGGGATTACAGGCAATCTCCACCATGCGCAGCTAATTTTTTTGTATTTTTAGTAGAGACAGGGTTTCACCATGTTGGACAGACAGTTCTTGAATTCCTGACCTCATGATCCGCCCGCCTCCGTCTCCCAAAGTGCTGGGATTACAGGCTTGAGCCACTGCGCCCGGCCAAAATGTGATTATATTTTATTTTGAAATGTAATGCTATATTTAAGATAAATAAGAAAGTTGTGGAAAAGATTTGTAGGCAAAGTATAGTTGTTGATTTCCTCATATTTATAAATGATTGATATTTTTAAAATTGATTAATGAAGAAATAGAAGTTTTAACACATTATGTAAATTTAAAGGACAACCATTTGAACTAACTAACAATTTGAATAATGACAAGGGGAGGAATTTTTAAAAATCTACTAAATTTCTCATTTTCCAATGTATCAAGTCAGTAGATTATTTTTTAATGAAAGGATCAAGAAATAGGTATTTTTGTGTTTTGAAAGCAATAAGGTAAGCATCCTATTCTGTAAGGGCATGTAGTCGCCCTTAAAAGATGTGAATAAAGTAGTAATAAAAATAAACATTATATATGCCTTCATTATACCAAACATTATCATGGTAACGAAGCATAAAGCATCAAACACATCATATAATATTGAAGCTTCCTGCTTTCTCTATGCATGGAAGAACTATGTTATGAACACTTTGATAATAACTTTTGTTGAAATGAATCATATTCTTCATGTAAATTGCGTAGAGTAAGATAAAATGGATAAAATTATTGCTTTCCAAAATATAAGCAAATCATATGTGAAGAATACCCGAGGAATTATAAAGGATATGCATTATTAAATTTGAATTTTATCTCAATATAATTGTTATATGATTTTCATATTTTAAATGAGAAAAATAATGATTAGAATAGTTTTATCTTGCCCAAAGTCATATAGTTGTTAACTGGTCAAACCTAATTTCAAAGTCCGTCTTCAGATACCAAGGGCTTGTGATTTTAGATAAATACCCTAGGCACATTTTGGTCACCATTCTGTGTACTTCACATTGGAGGAAGAAATTTTCTGTGATACTAAGAAGAGAATTTAAACAATATGTTAATAGAAGACAGCAAAACAAAATGTATTTCCTGAGTTAGGTTAGCATAGAAATATCCGATTATTATTACTAAGCAAACATATAATAAGTTAACCATTGGCTTAGCATTGTCTATTTAATCATAATATTAGAGCCACAAGCTTAAAACCATTTTTGGTGAAATTATTTTTTTAATTTTAATTTTTATCTTAAGTTCTGGGGTACATGTGTAGGATGTGCAGGTTTGTTACACAGGTAAACACATGCCATGGTGGTCTGCTGCACCTATCAACCCATTACCTGGGTATTAAGCCCAGCATGCATTAGCTATTTTTCCTAATGCTCTCCCTCCCCCCACCCCATCCCCTGACAGCCCCTGGTATGTTGTTCTCCTCCCTGTGTCCATGTGTTCTCATTGTTCAGCTCCCACTTATAAGTGAGAACATGTGATGTTTGGTTTTCTGTTCCTGCATTGATTTGCTGAGGATAATGGCTTCCAGCTCCATCCATATCCCTGACAAGGACATGATCTCGTTCCTTTTTATGGCTGCATAGTATTCCATGGTGTATATATACCACATTTTACTTTATCCAGTCTATAATATTAGGCATTTGGATTGATTCCGTGTCTTTGCAATTGTGAATAGTGACGCAATGGACATATGTGTGCATGCATCTTTGTAACAGAATGATTTATATACCTTTGGCTATGTACCCAGTAATGGGATTGCTGGCTCAAGTGATACTTCTAGTTCTAGATCTTTGAGGAATCACCACACAGTATTCCACAATGGTTGAACTAATTTACATTTCCACCAACAGTGTAAAAGTGTTCCCATTTCTCCACAACCTCGCCAGCAACTGTTGTTTCTTGCCTTTTTAATAATTTCCATTCAGACTGGCATGAGATGGTATCTAATTGTGGTTTTGATTTGCATTTCTCTAATGATTAGTGATGCTGAGCTTTTTTTCATATTTTTGTTGGCCACTTAAATGTCTTCTTTGAGAATTGTCTGTTCCTGTCCTTTGCCCACTTTTTACGTTTTTTTTTTTTTTGTAAATTTGTTTAAGTTCCTTGTAGATTCTGGATATTAGACCTTTGTCAGATGGATAAGATGGATAGATTGCAAAAATTTTCTCCCACTCCATAGGTTGCTTGTTCATTCTGATGATAGTTTCTTTGCTGTACAGTAGCTCTTTTATTTAATTAGCTCCCATTTGTCAATTTTTGCTTTTGTTGCAATTGCTTTTGGTGATTTCATCATGAAATGTTTGCCGGTGCCTATGTCCTGAATGGTATTGCCTAGGTTTTCTTCTACAGTTTTTATAGTTTTGGGTTTTACATTTAAGTCTTTACTCCATCTTGAGTTAAGTTTTATATAAGGTGTAAGGAAGGGGACCAGTTTCAATTTTCTGCATATTGCTAGCCAGTTCTCTGGGCACCATTTATTAAATAGGGAATCCTTTCGCCATTGCTGGTTTTCATCAGGTTTGTCGATGATCAGATGATTGTAGATGTGTGATCCTATTTCTGCATTCTCTGTTCTCACAAACTTAAAGTCTTGAATTATATTTGTCGAGAATATATTAAAGTTTTGCAAAAACATGATGGTTCTACATAAATATTTATGACTTTAAAACTCATGCCGAACCAATAGTAATTCACAAAAACCACCACCTCTAAAATCATTCTTATTTTTATATGAGACAATAGCTATTGAACTGATTTTAACAAAGTAGAAGTGAAGAATATGAGACTTTTATATATGACCTAAAAAATAACATTATAACTAGAGAGTCAAGATGAGGTAGCTCATATCTTTCTGCCCAATAATTTTAAAGGGTTTTATGTAGAGGATATGCTAAATGTAAAAATACTTTGCTCTGATAAGGAGATATTAAATTGCACTTCAATTAAAATTCAAATGGAATACAGAAATTAGCAAGTAATTTGCTCAAACGCATAATCTTAAGATCCTCTTTCTGTTTAGTGATTCAAATTTCTTTCTTAAGTGGTTACAAAAAGGCAAATTCATGAGATATTATAATTCAATGTATTTACTAAAAATGTATCACATCTCTGAGCATTTAGCTAGCTAAATGTACCCCAACACTCATGCATATCATAAATTTTCCCCAGACCATAAACTCTTGCTGGGCTATTTGACTGATACCCAGGCACTACTTGAGGCTTCTCTGAAGTTTAAGCACCAAGGAATTGGAGGAAATCTTCTCAATGAGTAGAATGCTTAAGGCTTACCCAGAAGCCTAGGAAAATGTAATGGTTTCTGGGGTCAAGCCCAGGGTCTCACTACCCTGTTTCTCCTCTGAGGTGCTGCACCCTACATCTCAACAACTCTAGCTCAAGCCTTGGCTCAAAGTACCCTAGATAGAGCTCAGGCCACCACTTCAGAGGGCACATGTTATAAGCCTTGGTGGTTTTCATATGGTGTTAAGCATGTGGGTGTGCAAAATACAAAAGTAAAGAGGGCTTGGCAGCTTCCACCTATATTTCAGAGGATGTATTGGAAAGCCTAGGTGCCCAGGCAGTAGCCTGACACAGGGGCAAAGCCCTCACAGAGAGTCTCTGCTAGGTCAGTGCCAAGGACATAGAGTTGGAGCCCCCACACAGAGTACCCACTGTGGTACTTCCCAGTGGAGCTGTGGGAACAGGGCCATCACCCTCTAGACCCCATGATGTTACAGTCATCAATAGTTTGCAACCTTAGTGTAAAAAAAGCCGTAGGCAACAGACTCCAACCAGTGAAAGCAACCACAGGGGGCTGCACCATGCAAAGCCACATGGCTAGAGCTGCCCAAGGCCTTGGGAGCCCACTCCCTGCACCAGTGGGTCCAGTATGTAGAACATAGAGTCAAGGGAGATAATTTTAGAGCTTTAAGATCTAATATGTGCCCTCTGGGTTCCAGAATTGCATGGGGCCTGTTACTCCTTTCTGTTGGCTGATTTATCCCTTTTGGAATGGGAATGTTACCCAATGTGTGTACCATCCCTTTGGTAATAAATATCTTTGTTCCTTGGAAATAAATATCTTTGTTTTGATTTTACAGGTTCATAGGCTGAAAGAACTTGACTTGGAGTCTCAAATGAGACTTTGGACTTTTTGAGTTGATGCTGGAAGAAGTAGGCTGAAAGAACTTGACTTGGAGTCTCAAATGAGACTTTGGACTTTTTGAGTTGATGCCGGAAGAAGTAGAGATTCTTGAGGACTGTTGAGAAGGATGGTTATATTTTGCAATGTAGGAAGAACATGAGATTTGGGAGGTGAGGGGGCAGAATGATATACTTTGGATATTTGTCCCCTCCAAATCTCATGTTGAAATATGATCCCCAAAGTTGGAGACTGGGCCTAGTGGAGATGTTTGAGTCATGGGAGTGGATGCCTCAGGGTGCCCTCCCCCTGGTAATGGGTGAGTTCTTGCTGTGTTCATTAATGCAGGAGCTGGTTGTTTAAGGGAGCCTAACACCTCCTCCTTTCTTTCTTGCTCCTTCCCTTGCCAGATGACATGACTGCTCCCCCTTCACATTCTGCCATGAGTAAAATCTTCATTAGGCCTCATCAGGAGCTGAGCAGGTGCTGGTTCCATGCTTGTACAGCCTGCAGAACTGTGAACAAAATCAACCTATTTTCTTTATAAATTACCCAGTCTCAGAAAATCCCTTATGGCAACACAAACAGACCAATACACCATAGTTCTACTTTCTGCTTTTATTATATCGTCTCTTTTTTTTTCTTTTTCTTGTTTTTAATATTCCACATGTAAGTGACATCATGTAGTATTTGCCTTTTTGTGTCTGGCTTATTTCACTTAACATGATGTCCTCCAGGTCCATCCATGTTGTAGCAAATAAAAAGATATCAATCTTTTTTTATCGCTGAATAGTATTCCATTGCGTATGCACACCAAATTTTCTTTATCCATTCATCCAGTTTTGGACACTTGGGTTGATTCCATATCTCAGCTATTGTAAATAATGTTTTGATTTATATCATAGTTCAAATACCTCTTCAACATACTGATTTCATTTCCTTTGGATATATACTCAGTAGTGGGATTCCTGGATTGTATGATAGTTCTATTTTTAATTTTCTCAGGTACCACCATACTGTTTTCCATTTACAATCTCATTAAAAATGTTTAAGTGTTCTATGTTATCTGCATCCTCACCAAACCTTGTTTTCTGTTGTCTTTTTTATTGTAGCCATTCTAACTGGAGTGAAGTGGTATCTCATTGTGGCTTTTATTTGCATTGCCCTAATGATTAGTGTTGTTGAGAATTTATAATGTACACATTGGCCTTTTGTATATCTTAGTTTGAGAAATGTCTATAAGGTCTTCTCCTTACTTTTTAATTGGGTTACTTTTGTTGTTGTTGTTGTTGTTGTTGTTGAATTGCTTAAGTTTCTTATATATTCTGGATATTAACCCCTTGTAAATTGTATAGTTTGCAAGTATTTTCTCCCATTTGGTAGGCTGTCTCTTCACTCTGTTAATTATTTTCTTTGCTGTGCAAAACCTTTTTAGTTTGACCTAATTCCATTTGCCTCTTTTTGCTTTAGTTGCCATGCTTTTGAGGTCGTTTTTTTCAATTGCCTGCCTAGCTCAAAGTTTTAAAGCATATCTCCTGTGTTTTCTTTTACTAGTTTTTATGGTTTGGGTTCTTAATAGATTTTGAGTTGATTTTTGTATATGGTGAGAGGTAGGGTCTAGTCTCATTCTTCCACAGTTGTATATCCAATTTTCTGAGCACCGTTTATTTCAAAAACTGCCTTTTCCCCAATATGAGTTCTTGGCAATATCAACAGAAGTAAGTTTAGGATAAATGTATGAATTTATTTCTGAGTTCTCTATTCTGTTCCATTTGTCTCTGTGTCTGTTTTTATGCCAGGACCATTCTGCTTTTGTTACTATAGTTTTGTAGTATATTTTGAAGTCAAATAGTGTAATATCTCCAGCTTTGTTCCTTTTGCTCAATAGTACTTTGGCTTTTTAAGGTCTTTCGTAGTTCCATATGAATTTTAGCGTTTTTGCTTCTCTTTCTGTGAAGAATGTAATTTGTATTTTGATAAGGATTGCAGTTATATCTGTAGATCACTTTGGGCTGAGACTGGACGATTTATAAAGAAAGGAGATTTATTTGGCTCACAGTTCTGCAGGCTCTATAAGCATGGCACCAGTATCTGCTTGGCTTCTGATGAGGGCCTCAGGCAGCTTGGAATCATGGTAGAAGGCAAAGCGGAACTGGCATGTCATATAGTGGGAAAGGAAACAAATTAATGCTAGGCTCTTTTAAACAACCAGCTTTCATACAAACTAAAAACAAGAACTCACTCATCACAAAAGGGATGATGCTAAGTCGTTCTTGAGACATCTACTCCTATGATCAAACACCTCTGACTAGGCCTCACTTCCAACATTAGGGATTGCATTTCAACATGAGATTTGGAGGGAGTAAATATCCAAACCATATCAGATAGTAGGGAAATTATAAAAATATAAATTTTTGCAACCCATGGACATGGAATATAATTACATTTATTTGTGTAATTTGTGTCTTCTTCAAATTCTTTCATCAATGTTTTATAGTTTTCATCTCTTTGAATTAATTTATTTCTAGGTATTTTATTTTTTGTAATTATTGTAAATGGAATTATTTTCTTGATTTCTTTTTCAGGTAGTTTGTTATTGATATACAGAAATACTACTAATTTTTTATGTTGATTTTGTATCCTGTGACTTTACCTAGATGTTTTATTTGTTTTAACAGTATTTTGGTGGAATTTTTAGAGTTTTCCATATATCAAATTATGCCATCTGCCAACAGGAACAATTTGACTTTCTCCTTTCCTATTTGATTTGTCTCTTTCTTGCCAAACTGCTCTGGCTAGGACCTTTAGTATTATGTTGAATAAAAATGATTGAAGTTGGCATGTTTTCCTTGTTCCAGATAAAAGAAAAAAAGCTTCTATCTTTTTCCCATTCACTATAATGTTAGCTGTAGGTTTGTCAATATGGACCTTTGTGTTGAGGTATGTTCTTTCTATACCCAAATTTGCTGATAGTTTTTATCATAAGGGGATATTAAATTTTGTCAAACACTTTTTCTGCATTTATTGATCACATGGTTTGGTTTTCATCTTTCTTTTTATTAATGTTGGGTATCACATTTATTGATTTTTGTATGTTTAACTAATTTTTCATCCCTAGGATGAATTCCATTTGGTTATAGGGGATGATTTTTTTAATTTGCTGTTGAATTCTATTTGCTAGTATCTTATTGATAATTTTTACATTTATGTTTATCGTGAATATTGGCCTGTAGTGTTCCTTTTTTTTTTTTTTTTTTTTTTGCTGTGTCTTTGTCTGGTTTTGGAATCAGGATAATGCTGACCTCATCTCATAAAATAAGTTTGGATTAATTCCTTTTCTTCAATTTTCTGGAATAGTTTTAGAAGAAATGGTATTAGTTCTTTAAATGTTAGGTAAAATTCAGCAGTGAGATCATCAAGTCCTGGGCTATTTTAGATGAAAGACTTTTTCTTACTGGTCCAATTTCCTCACTCACTATTAGCCTGCTCCAGGTTTTTTGTTCATTTGTTTGTTTGTTTTCATAGTAATTTAATCTTGGTAGGTTGTACATGTTCAATAATTCATCTATGTATTCTATGTCTTCAAATATGTTGGTTTATAGATGTGAATAACAGTCTTTTATTAACCTTTATATTTTTGTGATATCAGTTTTAATGCCTCCTTTTTCATTTCTAATTTCATTTATTTGTATTTTTTTCCCTAGTCTGGCTAAAGGTATGTCAATTTTATTATCAAAAATACAACTCTTCATTTTGTTGATCTTTGAATTTCTTTAAGTCTATATTATTTATCTTTGCTATGAGCTTTATTATTTCCTTCCATCTATCAATTTTGGGTTTAGTTTGTTCTTGGTTTTCTAGTTCCTTGTGGTGCATGGTTAGGTTGTTTATTAGAAATATTGTTTTCTTTTTTGACATAGGCATTTAGTACTATAAAATTTCATTTTAGAACATCTTTTGCTTTGTCCCATATGTCTTGGTATGATGGGTTTCCATTCTCATTTGTCTCAAGGAATTTTTAAATTTTCGTTTTATTTTTTTCATTGACTCATTGGTTATTTAGAAATGGGTTTTTAAATTTCCATGTATTTGTAATGTTTCTAAAATTTTTCTTGTTGATTTCTATGTTTATACCATTCTGGATTGCAAAGATATTTGGTATGATCTTTATTTTCTTACAATTGTTAAAACTTCTTTTGAGGCCTGACATATGATTGATCCTGAAGAATGTTGCATGTGTAGCTGAGGTGAATGTGTATTCTGCAGTGGCTGGATGGAAGGTTTTGTAAATATCTGTTAAGTTCATTTGGTCTATGATATAGTTTAAGTCTGAGGTTTCTATTTATTCTCTGTTTAGATGCTCTGCTCAGTGTTGAAAGTTGAGTTTTAAAGAACTTTATTATGATTGTATTTCCATCTATTTCTCTCTTTAGATCTAACAACATTTGCTTTATATATTTGTGTGCTCCAGTGTTGGGTGCATACATATTTACAAATGTTATATTGTTGTTTAAAAGTGTATCTTACTAAATAATCATGGTACCAAAGCATTCATTATTATAATGGTGGTCTCTAATGCCTGTTTACTTTAATACAATGACCAAAACATAGCAGTTAATTAAGCAGTTGGACATTTAATTTGTTCGTTAATTCATTTATTTAGTACCATAAGAAGTAGGCTGCTTCTTGTTCAAAATGTTACTCAGCTACAGAAAAAAGTTATTTCATTCAAACACTATGCAAAGAAAAGAAATGTGCTATGACATCAATACAGTTAGAGTGAGAATACATGACCAAAAAGAAATAAATTAGCTCATGAGATAAGACTTAAGATACCATAATTTCAAGATGCATTGGTTCTGTAAATAATAGGAAATTATTATTTTTGCTTGTTTTGGGGAACTAACATAATTCATCAGCAAGAGAATGAAGGAGACAACACTTTCTGTAGATGTCAGTGACACTCATCAGTTGATAGTCCAACTGAGGCAGCTGTATTTCTTTTTTTAACTGAAAAATTACACTGGAAAATAAATGGAATTTAAACATCTTGTGGTGATTGGCTTTTTGGAGAAAAGAGTATCAGTGATGGAGAAAGTGGATAGAACAAAATAATTAGCATTAGAAATCTTTATTACTTTTTAAAACTTCATCAATTTTTAATGTCTCATTTTAAATTGGAAATAATATATTGGAAATATAACAAAATATTAAACATTAAACATTATATACTTATATGCATATAACATAAAATATTAAACATTATATACTTATATGGTGAACTAAAATCTATCTACCTGAAGATTAATTCTAAGGAAATGAACCATATGTTTAGTTTTCTTTTTTTATTTATCAAAACTATAAAAATAGCAAAACTGATTCATTATGAATTTCTCATTATTTCCCTTAATTCATCCACATTTTAATAGAAGTACTAATGCCTTTTAAAGAGCTATAAAATAATCTCATCATAAATATGATGATCTCCCAAATCATGATTTACAGAAATAACATTAACTTAGGTAGACTTTTTAAAATTTCCATTTTAAGTTATAAAATATAAAGAAAACACTCCCTAGATATAATTTGGAAAATAAAGTATGAAGTAAAAATAAAAATCACCAACAATACCATACTGAAAGATAAATTATTTAACACTTTAGTTCCTTTCCTTATAACTTTTATATAATGTATTTATGTGCTATGTTGAATACATACAAATTTTGTCACCAACAAAATGTCATTTTTTTCTGTCATTCTCTTACATTTTATTCAGTAGGAAACATTTTTCTGTAGCCACTGGATAAAATATCATCAGAGTGATGACAGTTTGCTCAATCTGAACTAATAGGCAGTCTTTTCAATTTTCAAGCCCAGCCCCTATTCAAAATTTAAATGCCTCCTCTAATATAGTAACCAAAATTCTGGACTTGATTTGCCACTAATTATTCTCCATTCCTTCGAGTCCACTTCTTGTAATCGCACATTGAGCACAGGGGGAGTGGTGTCTTTTCATTCTCCTTCCAAGTAACTATCTGGTCTTAAGCCTCTGGCACTAGGACTTGAAGACAGAGGAGAGGGAAAAAAGAAATATTCCCCACTTGAAATGGTGTCAATGAACACAAGCTCTATGCTTGCTGTAGTCTGCTAGATACCTTAAGACTAAGCTCCTCTCTCTTGTAGTTCTCTTGACTTGAGTGAATACACTGGTAGTCAGTTGGGAACCTTCCTTGAGTCCTGAATTTCATTTGCGCTTCTTGTTGTTGACATCCCTTCGCTTTTCTAGGAAACCATAAATGACCTCACACTTTTCCCTTGTTTGCTAATATATGGTTCATGGGCAACTTGCATGCATTTACATCTCATCTTCAGAAAAGATCTGGTTGTGCAGGTCAATTCCAAAATAACAACCCTGTCTTGTCTCTGCCCCACAAAAAGTTAGGAGCCTTTATTTGCTTATCTGAACTTCACAGTATTGCTTTAGGTACAGGTTCTGAAAACTGGAAGAACTAAGTCATCGTTTCAAAGTCTAAACTTGTATTTTCCTTTCAATTACATATTGAGAATATGAGTTTGCTTTCATTTTCCCATGTGTAATGTCTGACTTTATATTTGTTTAGATTGTGCTCTGATTGGGATAACTAAGTATTAAATCAAACTGTCTTTGGTTTTGTGATGATTATTTCTTCTTAGAAAGTCATTGGCATACAGATAACAGATAGTCTTCTATATTCCAATGTTTATTTCCTTCTTAAACATTATTTTTCCTTTTCTTGAGTAACACCAAGTTCTCTGTTACCCTTCAAATTTTCTTCTTTAACGTATTATTTATCTGAGTTTAGTAATTAAATGTTAGAATCATTTGACGTTCTACTTAAGGCCTACTTTCTATCTCTGAGAGGGAATTTTATTTATTCTCATGTATTCAGTTGCAAACCATATATGGAAAATTACCAAATGTATATCTACATTGCAGAGTTTTCTCTTGACTCATAAAGGTACATTTACTCTTTCTGTTTAACACCTGTTTCTGGCCAAATTTTCTAAGAATTAGATGACAATTCCCCACCCTCCCCCAATTTATTTCTTCTCCAGTGTTTACTATCTCAGCAAATAGCTCAACAAATACCTTGCTCCTAGAGTACATGAAATTTGTATTTGACGCTTTGCTCACTCTTAGCCTCTAGATTCAATTAATCACCCAGACATCAACTTCTTTGTGTAAATATCATGTGAGTTCATTAATTTATTTGAATTTCTTTTGTCATCCTAATTCCTATTATTGTTTACCTTGGTTATCACACCATCTCCTAGACTAGGTGAAGTTATATATCATTCTTTCTCCTTCGAGAATATTCTTTTTTTTTTTTTTTTTTTTTTTGAGATGGAGTCTCGCTCTGTCACCCAGCCTGGAGTGTGGTGGCGCGATCTCGGCTCACTGCAACTTCCGCCTCCCGAGTACCTGGGACTACAGGCACGGGTGCCACCATGCCCGACTAATTTTCTTTTTTCTTTTCCTTTTTTTTTTTTTTGAGACGGAGTCTCATTCTGTCACCAGAGTGGAGTGCAGTGGCACAATCTCGGCTCACGGCAACCTCCGCTTCCCGGGTTAAAGCGGTTCTCCCGCCTCTGTCTCCCAAGTAGCTGGGACTACGGGCACACGCCGCCATACCCAGCTAATATTTTGTATATTTAATACAGGCGTGATCCCCCCGCCTCGGCCTCCCAAAGTGCTGGGATTACAGGCGTCAATTTTTTGTATTTTTAGTAGAGACGGGGTTTCACCGTGTTAGCCAGGATGGTCTTGATCTCCTGACCTCGTGATCCGCCTGCCTCGGTCTCCCAAAGTGCCGAGATTACAGGCGTGAGCCACCGCGCCCGGCCAAGAATATACTTTACATGACAATTAGGTACTTATAAAAAAACATAGTGATTATTTTACTCTTCTGTCTAAAACTCTCCAATTATCCTCTATTTTTATTAAAGCCTCAGATTATTAACATTGCCCATGATGTGTCATTGTCCAATGAGATAAACCGTGTTTATATCTTACCCAATTCTTTGTAAGGTACATTCCACCTAGAATGACTCATTTTTTTCTTTTGTGTTATTTCCCCTCTTAATGCGTTTGCATATAACACTACCTTACGTAAATCACATGCTACTAGCCTCCTTCCCACCCACCTATATACTACGTATACATAAAGCCACTTTTGCCTCATTAGTGTCACACTTGATGTAACTAACTCAGGGAAGACTTATGAACTTGACGCAAGTTTGATTTTACCATTAATTGTAGAAATTTCTTAAAATGCCACTCATTTCTACCAAATTGTTTAATGTGACTCTAATGTTGACTGCAACAGTATAGACAATGTGCATTTTATTCATCACTGTATGTCCATAGTCTTGAACAGTACTTAATACAGGGTAGGTACTCAAATATTTATTAAACAAACCACAGCTTTAACTGTAGTTCATGATCAATAGCCTAAATGGGCAGAATATTTAAAGAAGTGAAAGAAAACAGTCATTTGTCTAGTTCCCATAGGCTGTTATAGAAAAGTATAAAAAGCTTCCAGAGGAAAGTTTTTGGAAGTCTTTTAGATATTATGTGCCAGGCAACTGGTGAAGTTCTCAAGCCAGAAAATTCAAGTACAACTCTAGTGTCCTTTTCTATAAGACAAATCCTCACTTCACATTATCAGATTTCATAGACTCTTATATGTGTCTGTCTATTACTGTATTCATTCAGCTAGATAAATAGGGAAGAGATGAGGAATAGAAGAAGAATATAATACTTAACAGATGCACCTTTGGGTGATAGAATTAAAAGCACTTAAAAATTATTCCTTGGCCGGGTGCGGTGGCTCATGCCTGTAATCCCGGCACTTTGGGAGGCCGAGACAGGCGGATCACAAGGTGAGGAGATTGAGACCATCCTGGCTAACACAGTGAAACCCCGTCTCTACTAAAAATACTAAAAATTAGCCAGGCGTGATGGCAGGCGCCTGTAGTCCCAGCTACTCAGGAGGCTGAGGCAGGAGAATGGCGTGAACCCGGGAGGCAGAGCTTGCAGTGAGCCGAGATCGCGCCACTGCACTCCAGCTTGGGCGACAGAGCCAGACTCCGTCTCGGAGAAAAAAAAAAAAATATTCCTTATACTCTTGGTATTTTACATATAACTATACCCATTTTAATTTCATAATTATGTATACTTAGACATAAAATATTATTAAACAAAAGGCTGTATCAAGCACACATGTCTACATGAATTTAACTAATGTTTATTAAATGTGATGGATGGGTACTCCATTAGTTTTAATTTTACCAAGATATTGGTAAAATTGTTTATCAGAAGTTTCTCATTATTTATCCTCAGTAGAATCTGGGAGACAACACAAGACATTTAGAACTTTCTTTTTCCATTAATACGTCATAAATTGGAGAACCAGAAGTTGTTATGAAGATGTGTATTAGATTGGAAGTTTAGAGATACTGGCTGTCATAGGCTATCATTATTGAAAAAGCAGAGTACATGGCTACCCCAATAGTTTCTTTGTTTTTCATATATATTTCATTAAGATTTGTAATAATATTTTAGGCACAAAGACATCATTAAGTTGCAATGCTCCTCAAAATAGAAGGTGAGCTAAATTTTCTCCATGTTGATGTCTGTCCCTCCTAATCATTAAGAAATTTGTAACTTCTAAAAATTAACAAGTAACTACATTTCAAGTATTTCTATGAGCTTTGCAACTTAAATATATCTGCAGTGGAGAAGAAAGGAGGACTTGCATAAACCATTCTCTGCTTTCTTAAGTGAAATCCTTCCCTGCCACACAGCAATTATGTCCTCTGGTGGATAAAAAGATGAATGCGTGAGATTACTATTTTAGGATCTACACGCTCTATTTGGATGTAACTCATTTATAAACTTATGAAAAATGGCTAATAAATCATTTCTATTTTCAAATAAAAGCATACATAAGAATGAAAATTGTCATAATTATGTTTTTTTCACTCTGTATGCATATATTTTGTAATATTCTGATTTGATTATTTTAAAAATAATAATTCTATCACCATTATCAGCCATGACACTTTTATAGGACTGGTGACATGTCTTATTTACAGTAGTGAAAACTGATTGGTAAATAGTCAATCTATTTCATGTTTTCAATTTTTTTATGCATGTAAAAGTGTTCATAATAGCCTTGAATTATCTTTTGTATTTCTGTGGTGTTGGATGTAATATCTCCTATTTTATTTCTCATTGAGCTTATTCAGATCTTCGCTCTTCTTTTCTCGGTTAATCTTGCTAATGGTCTATCAATTTTCTTTATCTTTTCAAAGAACCAACTTTTTGTTTCATTTATCTTTCATATTTTTGTGTTTCAATTTCACTTATTTCTGCTCTAATCTTGGTTTGTCTTTTCTCTTACTGGTTTAGGGTTTGGTTTGTTCTTGTTTCTTTAGTTCCTATACCTTAGATTGTCTACTTGTCCTCTTTCAGACTTTTTGATGTAGGCATTTAAGGCTAGGAATTTTCCTCTTAGCACCACTTTTGCTGTATCCCAGAGGTTTCAATAGGTTGTGTCACTATTATGATTCACTTCAAAGAATTTTTAAATTCCCATCTTGATTTCATTGTTGACCTAATAATCATTCAGGAGCAGTTAATTTAATTTCCATGTATTTGCATTGTTTTGAAGATTCCTTTTGTAGTTGATTTCCAATTTTATTCCACTGTCGTCTCAGTATCTTGAAATAATTTCAATTTTCTTAAATTTATTGAGACTTGTTTTGTGGCCTGTCAAATGGTCTATCTTTGGGAAATTCCCTTGCACTGATGAATAAAATGTATATTCTGCAGTTGTTGGGTAGAATGTTCTGTAAATATCTGTTAAGTCCATTTGTTCTAAGATACAGTTTAAATCTGTTGTTTCATTATTGACTTTCTGTCTTGATGACCAGTCTAGTGCTGTTAGTGGAGTATTGAACTCCCCCACTGTTACTGTGTTGCTGTCTATGTCATTTCTTAGGTCTAGTAGTAATTGTTTTTTAAGTTTGGGAGCTCCATTGTTAGGTGCATGTATTTTTAGAATTATGATATTTTCCTGTTGGACAAGGCCTTTTATCATCATATAATGTCCCTTTTTGTCTTTTTAAACTGCTGTTGATTTAAAGATGGTTTTGTCTAATATAAGAATAGCTACTCCTGCTTGCTTTTAGTGTCCATTTGCATGGAATGTCTTTTTCTACCCCTTTACCTTAAGTTTATGTGAGTTCTTATGTGTTAGGTGAGTCTCTTGAAAGCAGCAGATCCTTGATTGGCAAATTCTTATCCATTCTGCAATTCTGTATCTTTTAAGTGGAGCATTTAGGTAATTTACATTCAATGTTATTATTGAGATGTGAGGTATTATTCCATTCACTGTGCTAGTTTTTGCTTGAATACCTTGTTTCTTTTTTATTGTATTTTTGTTTTATAGTTTCTGTGAGATTCATGCTTTAAAGAGGTTCTGTTTTGATGTGTTTCCAAGATTTGTTTCAAAATTTAGAGCTTCTTTTAGCAATGTACAGCCCTCCTAGCTTAAATCAGGAAGAATTAGAAACCCTGAACAGACCAATGACAAGCAGCAGGATTGTAATGGCAATAAATTACCAACAAAAAAAAAATTCAGGGCCAGATGCATTCACAGCTGAATTCTGTCAGACATTCAAAGAAGAATTGGTACCAATCCTATTGACACTATTTCACAATATAGAGTAAGAAGGAATCCTCCCTAAATCATTCTAAGAAACCAGCATCATCCTAATACCCAAACAAGAGAGGACATCATCAAAAAGAAAACTACAGACCAATATCCCTGATGAACATAGATGCAAAAATCCTTAACTAAATACTAGCTAACTGAATCCAACAGCATATCAAAAAGATAATCCACCATGATCAAGTGGGTTTCATACCAGGGATGCAGGGATGGTTTAATATATGTAAGTCAAACAATGTGATATGCCACATAAACAGAATTAAAAAGAAAAATCACATTACCATTTCAACTGATGCAAAAAAGAACATTTGACAAAATCGGGTGTCACTTTATGATTTAAGCCTTCAGCAAAATTGGTATACAAGGGATATATCTCAATGTAGTAAAAGCCATCTATGACAAACCCACAGCCAACATAATACTGAGTGGAGAAAAGTTGAAAGCATTCCCTCTGAGAACCGGAAAAAGACAAGGATGCCCACTCTCACCACTTCTATTCAGTATAGCACTGGAAGTCCTAGCCAGAGCAATCAGACAAGAAAAAGAAATAAAGGGCATCCAAATTGGTAAAGAGAGAAAGTCAAACTGTCGCTATTTGCTGATGATATGATCATATACCTAGAAAACCCTAAAGACTCCTCCAAAAAGCTCCTGGAACTGATAAATGAATTCAGCAAAGTTTCAGGATTCAAATTAGTAGCTCTGCTATATACGTACAGCAACCAAGCTGAGAATCACATCAATAACTCAACCCCTTTTTACAATAGCTGCATCAATGTATAAAATACTTAGGCATACACTTAATCAAGGAGATAAAAGACCTCTACAAGGAAAACTACAAAACACTGCTGAAAGAAATCATACATGACACAAACAAATGAAAACTTATCCCATGCTCATGGATGGGTAGAATCAGTATTGTCAAAATGACCATACTGCCAAAAAACAAGCTACAAATTCAATGCAATTCCCATCAAAATACCACCATCATTCTTCACACACTAAAAAGACAATCCTAAAATTTATATGGAACAAAAAAAGAGCCCAAATAGCCAAAGCAAGACTAAGCAAAAAGAACAAATCTGGAAGAATCACATTACCTGACTTCAAACTATACTACAAGGCCATAGTCATCATAACAATATGGAACTGGTATAGAAATAGACACATAGACCAATGCAACACAACAGAGAATCCAGAAAGAACCCCAAATACTTACAACAACTGATCTTCAACAAAGCAAACAAAAACATAAAGTGAGGAAAGGACACTCTACTCAACAAATGGTGCTGGGATAATTGACAAGCCACATATAGGAGAATGAAACTGGATCTTCATCTTTTACCTTATACAAAAATCAACCCAAGATGGATAAAAGACTTAAATCTAAAACCTGAAACTATGTAATTCTAAAAGATAACTTTGGAAGAATCCTTCTAGACATTGGCTTAGGCAAAGACTTCATGACCAAGAACCCAAAAGCAAATGCAACAAAAACAAAGATAAATAGATGGGACTTAATTAAACTAATGAGCTTCTGTGCAGCAAAAGAAACAGTCAGAATAGTAAACAGAAAACCCATAGCGTGGGAGAAAATCTTCACAATCTACACATCTGACAAAGGGCTAATATCCAGAATCTACAACTAGCTCAAACAAATTAGCAAGAAAGAAAGAAACAATCCCATCAAAAAGTGGGCTAAGGATGTGAATAGACAATTCTCAAAAGAAGATATAC
Source organism: Homo sapiens (assembly GCF_000001405.40). Classification (NCBI taxonomy): domain Eukaryota; kingdom Metazoa; phylum Chordata; class Mammalia; order Primates; family Hominidae; genus Homo; species Homo sapiens. Next base: position 48,452,867 of record NC_000006.12, read on the forward strand.
AAATGGCCAACAAATATATGAGAAAATGCTCAATATCACTAATGATCAGGGAAATGAGAATCAAAATCACAATATGATACTACCTTACTGCCAAGACCAGCTCGGTCGGGGAGACTCTAACCCAGCAGCGCTAGAGGAATTAAAGACACACACACAGAAATATAGAGGTGTGAAGTGGGAAATCAGGTGTCTCACAGCCTTCGGAGCTGAGAGCCTCAAACAGATTTACTCATGTATTTATTAACCACAAGCCAGTCATAGCATTGTTTCTATAGATATTAGATTAACTAAAAGTATCCCTTATGGGAAACAAAGGGAAGGGCTGAAATAAAAGGATGACTTGGGTTAGTTATCTGTAGCAGGAGCATGTCCTTAAGTCACAGATCGCTCATGCTACTGTTTGTGGTTTAAGAATGCCTTTAAGTGGTTTTCGGCCCTGGGTGGGCCAGGTATTCCTTGCCCTCATTCCAGTAAAGCCACAACCTTCCAGCGTGAGCATTATGGCCATCATGAACATGTCACAGTGCTGCAGAGATTTTGTTTATGGCCAGTTTTGGGGCCAGTTTATGGCCAGATTTTGGGGGGGCCTGTTCCCAATACCTTACTCTTGCAAAAATGGCCATAATAAAAAAAAATTAAAAACAGTAGATGTTGGTGTGGTTGTGGTGAAAAGGGAACACTTCTACACTGCTGGTGGGAATGTAAACTAGTACAAAGACTATGGAAAACAGTGTGGAGAGTCCTTAAAGAACTAAAAGTAGAACTACCATTTGATCCAGCAATTCCACTACTGGGTATTTACTCAAATAAAAATAAGTTATTATATGAAAAAGATAAACACACATGCATATTTATAGCAGCACAATTTGCAGTTGCAAAAATATGGAACCGAACTAAGTGCCCAGCAATCAATGAGTGAATAAAGAAAAAAAGTGTGTGTGTGTATATATATATATATATATATATATATATATGCACCATGGAATATTACTCAGCAATAAAAAGGAACTAATTAATGGCATTTGCAACAACCTGGATGCAACTGGAGACTATTATTCTAAGTGAAGTAACTCAGGAATGGAAAATCAATCATCATATGTTCTCATTCATAAGAGGGAGCTAAGCTTTGAGGTTGCAAAGGCATAAGAACGATACATGGATTTTGGTGACTTAGGCAAAAGGGTGGGAGGGGTGTGAGGGAAAAAAGACTACAAATGGGGTTCGTTGTATACTGCTGGGGTGATGGGTGTACCAAAATCCCACAAATCACCACTAAAGAACTTATTCATGTAATCAAATACCACCAGTTTCCCCAAAACCCATGGAAATAAAGAATTTAAAAATAATATTTAAAATTTTTTGTGGGTACATAGTAGGTGTATATATTTTTGGCATACATAAGATGTTTTGATACAAGCATGCATGGAAAATAAGCACATCCTGGAGAATGGGGGATCCATCCTCTCAAGCATTTTCCTTTGAGTTACAAAGAATCTAATTATATTCTTTAAGTTATTTTAAAATATACAATTAAGTCATTATTGACTATAGGCACCCTATTGTGTTATCAAATAGTAGGTATTACTCATTCTTTCTAAGTTTTTATACCCATTAACCATCCCCACTTCCCCTCCAATTCCCCACTACCCTTCCCAGCCTCTTAAAACCATCCTTCTAGTCTCTGTGTCCATGAGTTCAATTCATTTGATTTTTAGATCTCCAAAATAAGTGATAACATGTGAGTTTATCTTTCTGTGCCTGGATTATTTCACTTAATATAATGATCATCAGTTCCATCCATGTTGTTGCAAAGGGCTGGATTTCATTTTTGGGGCGGGGGCTAGAGTTACTGATTTAGGAATGCAGCAACAAAAGAGTACACCAATCCACATTTTATAATCCCCTAAGCTGTAGATTTAGTTGTGCACACAGACCTAAGTCTTTTTGTTCAGGGTGGACTGTTCATAGATTGCTGGAAATCCTGGGAACAGACTGTCAATCCCTTTCTCACTGCCGATGAACCAGGAAACTTGTAGTCCTGGAGATTTCTGACTATTATCTTTGCCTACTCAGGGTAACCACCACTAGGATAAGGCAAAATTGATGGGGAAAATGAGGAAATGGATAGAAACAACCAGGGTTTTTGGTAATATCACTGAGCTACAAGATTGTACTTGTCTGAAGCCTTACCTCAGGACATACACTTACATGGACATATAACTTGCCATCGTTGTTAGACAGTTTAAATAAACTAATCTGTTATTTGCATCTAATGCAATTGAACTGATAGAAAACTGAAGTTATTTTTTCAATTTTGGCAAATAGCTATTTTATCTGATTAAAATACGAATGTATTGCTCACCTGAAAAATAAAATAGGTAGTATGAACATATGTAAACAGGATTCCTATCAGATTGCCTCAGGCACAGTTCATATAAGCTTGGCAGTATTGTTGGGGACACCAAATACTCATCAATTGAAAAGCTACCAAATAGTGAATTTTGACCGAAACACGATTTAAAAAAAGATGGGGAAGAGTGCTTTTGAAGGGGCAATGCTGCAAAGTGAAGATATATGTCATAAGATACACGAAGCTCTAATTATATAACAGATTTATGCTTCCAAAGCCATAACGTCCAACAGAACCACTTAGGAAATGGGCAACAAGATGAAACAAATGGACTGCTGAACTTTGAGGTGCAGTAAACTTTTTCCCATTCACCTGGAGCATTCTCATCCAACTGGAATTAGAACTGGCTGCAAGATAAATCATCTAAAATCTAGAGCTCTGAGTAGTGAAGAGATAAACATAAGATTAACTGTTCCATCTAAACTCATTTCTCATCACAAGGCTCAAATAAATCCCAGCGTTTGTTGTATATCAAAGTCACACTGCCATAAGGAAACCATCAGAATTTATTCTGAGGATTCTTTGTCATCTCATAAAAAATGGGTTACTAACAAGGCAGTTATCGATAGCATTTATGAAATAGACTTTTATATGCACAGTATCCTTACATATTTTTTGCATAAATTAATATAGATAGATACATTTAGTACTAAACAGAATGAGTAGATTTTCTTCGTAATTATTAATTGCATCAATTGGTTAAAAATTCATTGCAAATTATTAAAAAATTATAGCTGATGATGATGCTTTGGAGATAATAAAATATAGAGATACAGTATAAGATAAAGAAAAGCATCATAAGAATTGACCCACTGAGAAATGTATCCAAAGTTGAAGTGATCAAGATGATCAGTTGTTTCCTTTGTGGGTCTTCCTTGACCCACTGGGGATGGCTAAATTTCTTCCTTTCCTGATGGTAACTTCTCTCTTCCATAAATCGCTCTTGAAAATGTCCTGAGAAGCAAGTAGGCAAAGGCATATAAACATACATGTGAGGTGTGCTAAGCAGTGATGGAAAAAAACCCAAAACCTCCCTAGTTCCCTATAATTGTAGTTATCTTATGTAAATAGAAATGATGCATTTATGACATTTCATTCCTTTACTACACTACATTTTCCACCACACATTGAGTGTATATTCACACTAATCAGTAGATCTTATTTTGAAAATGTAATTTGAAAAATGTCAAATTCCTAGAATCTTCCCCATACTGTTAATAGATAAAAGTACTCATATGATTTTATATGGAATAAAAAATTTGGGGAATGAGACAGTATGAGACAGCAAAAGAAATCATACAACACTTTTACTCAGGTTACATTAGGGAGTCCATACTATGGTACCAGAAATAGCTGTAGGAAAGCATTCATTGATATAACAAACAAGTATTTAATTTTTATTATGTACCAGGTACTATTCTAGATGATGGGGATGAAACACTAATTAATATGTGATCGTTGACTTTGAAAAGCTTATAGTATAATATAATAATACAAGCAACTACTAAAGTGAAATAGAAACCAAGATAGATGATCCCAAGAATGCTTTACTGGCAATGAAAGTATGCGTTGGAAAGATGGCCCCAAACTGAGTCTTAAAGGTCAAATAGGCATTTGCCAACAGCATGGAGTTGGATGAGAGTCAGAGGTGTGGAAAGGTCATTCTAAGAGGAACAAGTACTTGGAGAAGCCACATCTAGTTAAAAGCCAAGAAGATACTATGTATGCACTCAGGTGACATTGGCAGTGTTTCTCATAGAGCTGGGAAATAAGAACCCAGCTGCATACCTGTATCTTAGTTGACAACACTGTATTCGATTGAGAGATCATGAATTTTAGTTAATTATTTCTGCCACTGAGTTACTAGTTTCTAGGTGGTAGCTGTTGACATACAAATGCAAGAAATAATTGAGAGAACATGCAATGTGAATATTGATGAGAGTCAAAGGGGAAGCACCAACAGTCAAAAACAGTGGTGAAGCAGAGGCCAGAGAAGGAAACTTCAAGAGGAAGAGAGCGATAAGGTGTGAAATGCTGCAGATAAGTCACATAAAATAGGGTGAAAAAAAGCATTTGGTAATTAGGAAATCACTAAAGTGGTACCTGAGTGTAGTATCTTGAAGAGTATATGGAAGACAGTTAAACGCAGCAATTGAGGAAATTTCTCTCTTGAAACTTGTATTTTACAGAAAAGAGAAATATAAATTTGTAGATAGAGCCAATATAGGATTATTTTTATTATTATTATTTTGCTTGCCCTTCCCCTCTTCATTCTTATATGGAAAATAATTGAGCACTGACAGGCAGCCGTGAGAATGAAAAGATGAAAAATTTAAAAAGATTTGAAATCAGATGATATGGAATAGTATTTGGGCTCTGCCTAGTTAGTTGCCCACCTTGCACAAATCAGTAACTATCTGAGTTTCGGTGTTTGCTTGAGAAAATAGGAACAGTAATATATGTCCTACCTTATTCATATGAATATTTAGATGATTACATATAATAATATATGTGAAAGTAGGTTATAGGTCAAATTCATGATTAGCTTTCACTCAAATTAGACCTCTGTAAAATAAAAAGTAAATAATAGATACGTTGATTATCAGACTAAAATAAAAATACATTTAGATAAAATAATTAAGTTGGAGAGTGAATGTTAACTTGTTTAACTGTAATTTGTGACTCCACCAAATTGTAATTTTTGATCCACTTCCTATTTGAAATAGTTTTATATTTCACAGGGTAGGCTGTATATAAGTGCTAGAAATTCAAATTCATCTTTCAGCTGCTAAGTATGATAAAAGAATGTTCCAATAAACTTAATTCTCTATTTTGGCAAAGACTAAAACTGCAAATACGCACAATGCAAATTTAATCTATTCTGTTTATAGTCTCACTGTCACTTCAAGGTCCTATTGGGATGCCATATGGGCTGGTTTATTGCTTAGATGAAGTTTACAAATATAAACAAATAAATAATTTTGGGGATTTCTACAGAGTCAAATTAAGTTGGATGCAATGTCAAATAAACAGCACATATATCATAACTTCACAAAGGAATAGAATTTATTATATTTCAGGAAACGAATTCCCAAATTATATTTTACTGGATATACAAAAATGCTTGCTTGCATCTAATGTATTTCAAATCTGCCACTTATTTAAAGAGTCATGCTTTTTACCACAGTAAATAATACAATTTAAAATGTATTCATATCCCAATGAGTCTGCCTGTTTTCTAATATGTTAACAGATCTTATTTATCCAATTGAATGTTCACTAACAAATTTAGTCTAGCTGCATTTTTTCTTCTTTCCTAAAGTAAAATTCTGAGATGGAGAACAAAGTGATTGTTGACAGAACTAACGTTCAGCTTCTTTAATGGTAAGATATTTAAGAGAAGTCAGCTAATGCTTTAAAATAAATATTAAATTTGTGCACAGGAAAAAAAAATGGTTGGAAACCAACTGATGTGGAATAATGCTTAAAAATGTTTGCTCATCCTAATATCTTTAAAAAAGCCAATGAACAAACACAAATCAACAAGTCATATAAATACAGAAATTTTTTATTAAATCGAGAATGTAATTCAGGAAAACTATATAATGTTTGGTGGATATCATATTAAAGCATAGATATCTGAACTGTGAATAATTTTAATAGTGAATTCATCTCTATACTTCATCCATTAAGTGTTACTAAAGGACAAATGTGTGTAAGGATCTTCTGATTGACTTTTATTTATTTACATATTTTTATATCATAAAATACCAGTTTTATTAAGAAATATTTTCTTTTTCTATATCAGAGAATTACTCTACATGATGAACATCAGTCATTATGTCATTATCATCAACATTATCATGAAGAATTATTATAAAGTATTTCCAGGAAATCTTTCAATGTACAGTGTACTTTTTGAAATACTGCTGCATTGACTTAGCAAAAATTCTGAAATTGAGGGAGAAATCATATCTTTTTTGTAACTTTTAAGTTCAGGGGTACATATGCAGGTTTGGTATATAGGTAAATTTGTGTCATGGAGTTTTGTTTACAGATTATTTTGTCACCCAGGTATTAAGCCTGGTAACCATTAGTAATTTTTCCTGATCCTCTCCCTCCTTCCACCCTCCACCCTCCAGTAGACCCCAGTGTCTGTTGTTCCCCTCTATGTGCCCATATGTTCTCATCATTTAACTACTACTTATAAGTGAGAACAGGCAGTACTTGGTTTTCTGTTCCTGCGTTAGTCATATCTTCTTCTAAAGATTGGAAAGTTGGAAGTGAGAGAGGTAAAGTTATATAGCTTTAAGTCACAAAGTCAGAAGCCATAATTTAGTTTTCGATTCTTAGATGTTGCATTCTTCTGTAGACCACAATTTGTAGTTTACATTTGCTAACAGTTTATAGCTAACAAAATACTTTCTCAAGTGTTATCTCAGTGAGCTCTTTGTATTGAGCTACTAAATAAGCATCAATATATACATTTTGCAATTGAATGTTCTAACATTGAGAGGAATTGAATGTCCTGTTCAATCTAACACAACTTGTTTGTGCAAATGTCTGTATTGAAACAAAATATATCTAATCTTTTAACTTTGTAATCAATTCAGGTTATACATTGTGTCATATGTTTAACTAGTATGTATAATTAGTATATGTTTCATATATTACTAATTATTTTATTTTCAATTAGCTGGGCTATGATCGCAGAGATTTCTCAGTTTACAAAATTTCTAGGATTTTAGATCCTTATAACCCAGTCCATTCTCTCCTCCAAGTGTTTTTTAAAGACTCCACCAAAGGTTTTTGGTAAGGAGACTTCAAGGAATTCCAAGGGAAATTTCCTTGAATCAATGGGAGAGGAAAAAGTAGAATAGTGAAAATGATAGTGCTCTAGGCATTGAAGCTTGGCATCTATTTATTCATTTGGTCTTGGCTGGTCCACCACACTTACCAGACTTCCATTTAACCTATATAAACCAAGGTTTTCCATTAGATGATCCTGAGACACCATGCAAATCTAAAACTTCCCAGTAAACAAAACTTAAAGGTATATTATTATTTATTTGATGAGTAAACATCAATAAATTAAATGTGATGGAATTCTTTCTATATAAAATAAATGTAGTAGTTATAGTCTGATATTCAAGTCTAAAATTCCAAATTATGACTATTTGCTTTTATTTACTCTATCTCATGTGTGAAGGCAAGATTTTTAAGGAAACAAGACACAAATTATAACTGCTTTTGTGCTCACTCTAGGCATATCAATTCACGCCATCGTAAGATCATAGTGGTGGAAAATAGGCAAACTCACATCAATTTTGAAACTGTATTAGACAGCTACTTTGAAAGAAATCTCAATTCACAGTTGTGGTAAACATAAAGGTTGCCCAGTGCAACTGTTTCATTACTGAGAAATTAGGAAATAAGCTATTTATTGCTATACACAAGAGCTATGCTCTCTGATCTATGTCTTGTCTTCTGTAGTGGGCTGACGATCACCTCTAAATATAGCAGTTCCCATTCCCTGGAACTTGTAAATGTTACCTTATTTAGAAAAAAAAAAAAGTTCTGTGCAGGTGTGATTAAATTAATGATTTTAAGATGGGAAGATTATCCTAAATTATCCAGACAGGCCCAAAATATCATCACATGTGTCTTTATAAAAGCAAAGCAGAGGGACATCTGACATACACAGAAAAAAAGGCAATGTGAAAGGAGGCAGAGATTGAAGTGATGTGGCCACAAAATAAGGAATGGGAGCAGACTCCAGGAGCTGGAAGAAGTAAGGAACAAATTATCCTCTAGAGCCTCTGTAGAGGGCACATCTCTGCTGACACTTTGGTTGATTGGGGCCTGATGCTGATTTCAGGCTTCCGGCTTCTGGCTTCCACAGTTGTGAAAGAATAATTTTCTGCTTTTTTAAGCCACCAAAGTTGTAGTAATTTGCTGCAGCAGTCATGTTTCCATCCCAGGGGCCTAGACAAATATCCACCAATACATCATTTTTTTTTGTTTGTTTTTGTATTGGCCTGGTAATAGTACAACTACTCTTTCCTGTACACAAAAACTCATATTTCATCTTTGGACATTGTACTAGTTCATTTTCATGCTGCTAATAAAGACATATCCAAGACTGGGTGACTTATAAAGGAAAGAGATTTAATTGATACATGGTTCAGCATGGATGGCAGGCCTCAGGTTATTTACAATCATGGTGGCAGACAAAGAGGAAGCAAGGCACCTTCTTCACAGGGCAGCGGGAAGGAGAAGTGCAAGCAGGGGAAATGCCAGACGCTTAAAAACCATCAGATCTCATGATGCTCACACATTATCATGAGAACAGTATGGGGAAAACTGCCCCATGATTCAATTACCTCCACCTGGTCCTGCCCTTGACATGAGGGGATTATGGGAATTACAATTCAAGGTGGGATTTGGGTGGAGACATACAGCCAAACCATATCAGACATTGAGATGCAGGAGGTGGCATTGTATACTTTTTAAATAGCCATTCCCATTGCCTCTGTGGAAATAATCAGACTCCCTAATTCTTGTTTTTAGAATGTCTTCTTTGTAATAACAATAAAATTGATGGAGATTCTACTTTTAAGATGTTACTTATAGAATGTATGAATCTATGATAAATTTGTATGGAGAATTAAAAAGAGATTTGCTCTTATCTTTTAATTCAATTAGGTTGATTCTAATCTTCTGGGTTATGTTTCTGATTCCACATTAAGAGACATTAGCTGGACATTTCTTGGACATTTGGAATTACTTATCAATTGGTCATAGGTCATTGTTTTAATTACATGATAATCAATTAAAATACTTCTTATATTTTATAAAAATGAATTCTTAGTGGCCTTTCTAGATCAGTTGCTAAATCTCACAGCTTTATAAGTGATCATTTGGCTTATGAATATGCATTTAATTAAGAATGGTTACTTGTAGGTGATAAGCTTTATATATACCCCTGACATGTTAATTGTGGTTCAATGAGTATAAAAGATGAGATCTGATGGTGTTAGTTCTCTTACTTAATGCGTGACCTCACCTAAGTACTTAATGTTACCAGCCCTCACAAAAAGAAAAGTATTGTATAGGATAATGTTTTCAAGGACTGTAGGAAAGGTGAGATTTTCAGCATATAAAGGTTGACCGTATTTTTCTCTTAGGGAAAGGGATTAAAAACCCCAAGTAAATCCACAGGGTCTGTCTGATTCTTCTTGGACAGTTCTGTGAAAGGTGAGGAAACTATTAATGTTTCCATTGTTCTGGAGCATGTGTTTGGAAGAATATAATAGTGTTTACGCTATTTGCGTTAAAAAAATAACAAACTGGAAGTTAACATAGTGCTATGCTAACAAATGGACTATTCACCCTTGTTCTGGTGAATTCCTTTGTAGCCAATAATTAGGGATTTGAATCCATGTTACCCCTTCCTTTTTTTTTTTTTTTTTTTTTTTTTTTGAGAGGCAGTCTCGCTCTTTCGTCCAGGCTGGAGTGCAGTGGCATGATCTCTGCTCACTGCAAGCTCCACCTCCTGGGTTCATGCCATTCTCCTGCCTCAGCCTCCTGAATAGCTGGGACTACAGGCGCCGGCCACCACGCCCGGCTAATTTTTTGTATTTTTTTTAGTAGAAACGGGGTTTCACCGTGTTAACCAGGCTGGTCTACATCTCCCGACCTCGTGATCCGCCCGCCTAGGCCTCCCAAAGTGCTGGGATTACAGGCGTGAGCTACCACGCCCGGCCGAGGTTACCCCTTTAGAATAATAATGTATAACATGGATTATATGTGGCAATGACTCACGGAGGTTTTTCAAGAGTTTCCTATAGATTAGTGTTCCCAGTTTCATCAAATATGACAATAAAAATTTATAAAACAGATTTTGGACCATTTTACTAACTTGGAATGACTTTCCCAAGCTGATCTACCTATACACATAATGTTTTAAATTCATTTTTTATTTTAATTTATTTTTATTTTTATTTTTGAGATGGAGTCTCTCTCTGTCGCCCAGGCTAGAGTGCAGTGGAGCAATCTCTGCTCACTGCAGCTTCTGCCTCCTGGGCTCAAGTAATTCTCCTCAGCCTCCCGAGTAGCTGGCATTACAGGCATGTGCCACTACATCCAGCTAATTTTTGTATTTTTCGTAGAGACGGAGTTTCACCATGTTGGCCAGGCTGGTCTCGAACTCCTGCCCTCAAGTGCCCACCTCAGCCTCCCAAAGTTCTGGGATTATAGGCATGAGCCACTGAACCCAGCCTATCCACATAATTTTTAAATAAATCAGTAGAGTAGTTTCGCTTCCATTTTGTATGTAGAAATCCTCAGTAGAACTTACTCCTTAATAAAAAGTCTGGATAGTATTCAAGGTTGCAAGTTTTGCTCAGCCCATAAAAAATATGAAATTGCTAGGTGACTATGTAAAATAAATTCCAAGGGTGACAGCTCTCTCCTAGGAGAAATAGGTTGCACAAGCTTTTTTCCTTTGTCAGAACACAGCAGGAAGGAGCAGCTGCTATAAAATTGGAGAAGGAGGAAACAGCTGAAAATGTAAGGATTTCTTAAGGACCATGTGTGGACTACCATGGAAATTTAGAATATCTGGGAGTTTCAGATACAAAGGACAGTAAGATTGAAAGGATGGCAGGATACCTAAAATAGTCCTCCTTAGTAATACACAGGTGTGCAAACCTGCCTTGTTTGTAGACCCTTCAATGAGAGAATGAAGGGTCACTGGGGTAAAGAAGGAAATGTTTCCATCCCAGGGGCCTAAGCAAATATCCACAGGCTCTAGGGGAGGAGTAGAAGCAAAAGCTATCTTCCTCATTAGGTGGAGTATCAAATCCCCTTGCTCCACCATGAGCCTCATACTGAGTAACAAGGAATAGCAGCCTACATTCTGTCCCTAGGAGGGACAGGAAACCTTTCTGTCACTGGTCCCAGGTAAAGGTACAATGCTGTTGAGGGAGAAATAGAAACAAAGTCTGTTAATATGTTTTCTAGAGTTTTTAGATGCAATTAGGGGAAGAAGTAGGCTCTACTGGGTTTACATCACCATAGTGGGACTGGAATTATGCATATTAAATGTTCATGTAGTGAAGAAGAAGCATTTCAAATCAATTACCTAAGATTCAAACTTTAAATGTATAGAAAGAAGAGAGAAAATAAAATCCAACGAAAGCAGGGATAAAATAACAATAATAGTACAAATAAAAATTTAAAATAGAGAAAAATTATTTATTATTAAGAAATATTTTATTTTTCTGTATCAGGTAATTATACTACATGATGAATCATCAATCATGATTAAAATGTCCATAAAAAAGAATAGAGGGAAATGTTCTCAACTCAGTAAAGGGCTTTTTGAAAAACCAACAGCGAATATCATATGCAATAGTAGAAGAGCAATGCTTTCAGGATGAAATTTGAAAAAAAGTAAGAATTTCAACTCCAAGCTTCTATGCAATGATCCAAGAATCTACAAAGTGCTTCTAGACAAAATTAGTGAATTTAGTAAGATTGTAGAATATAACATCAAAATAGAAAAATACCTTTTCTTTCTCTAAACTACTAACAATTGATTGGAAATTGACATTTTAAAACAGCCACTAGAACATTTATTATTGATAATTTATATCCTAAATTTATCTGATAATACTAAAAATAATTGTTAAGAAAAATAAACTAAAACCTAAATAAGTGCAGAGATATAGACTTTTCAACTTTTGGAAGATGGGATATTGCCAAATATCAGTTCTTCCCAAATTGATGTAGATTAAACACAATCTAAACAAAATTAAAGCATGGTATTTTTAGTATGATGAAATGGTGAATGACTTTTGTGAAAATTTGAAAAAGGGACCAGAGTACCAGTCCCAAACCATGAAAATGTGATGCTTATTTAATCCATGCTAAAGTATTTTAAGTAGTTTGTTGCTATGCTCAAATCATTTATATGTACTTTTAAAAAATTTATGTACATGAGTGTCTGCTGAGACATAGGACAATTTTTTTTTCCTGGTTTCAGTGGTCCCACACATTGCAAGATGCTAAACATCCTTTCCTTCATCAGCTATAGACAGCAGTGCCTTACTCAAATATTACATAAAAAAACAAAAAATCAAACCAAACCAACTAACCAAATAAACAAAATAGAATACCATCACACTATTTTCCAAAATATCCCCTACAGGATGATATTGTCACAACTAAAAACTATTGAAGTTTGAGGCTGTAAGTCATGATCGTTTAATAAATGGATTGTGTAATCTTCGATGTAATATTTGCTATTTGCATAACCCAGTTCTCTCATCTATAAAATGAGGGTAATAACATACCCATGCTATAGGGACTTCATAGTATGGTTGCTAATTAAAACAAATAATAATTTGCACAATGACTAATACATTGTACACATTCAAATAAGTGCTGGTTATAATTTTTACAAATGGTCAAACTTTGTTTGTCTATGTGTTTGTTTATTCTAACAAATTGTAGATGGAGTTTTTAGACGCCTTTAAGAGATTTTTCATTACTATAATTCTTGATTATCATGCAAGCAATGTAATCCTCATTATGTTTCCTGGTTCTTTCTGAACAATAGAAGAAGAAATGATGCATGCCTCTGCTAAGGTATTTACTCTGGGATAGAAAGTAGAGGATAGATATTTGGTTTAGCAAGGAGTTCCTAAAACAGACTGCCTATTTTCTCTTTTCCTAAGTGGCATGGAGCAGGATAAATGACCAAACAAATAAAGGGTATGGAAACATGAGAGTGTTAAGAATATTGTCTTGAGAACTTATGAACTAAGCTCTCATGTGTCACTTCTCATTTACAGAAAACCTGTTCACAGTGATTGTATTTTGATGCTGTTCAGAAGCATTGTAATAGTGATTTATAACTGGCTTTATTTTAAAAATGCATCCAGATAGAGCATTTCATCACAGCTCTTAAGTGCTTGATGATCTTTCTTACTTGATTTCATCTTATCCTGGATGGCTGAGTTGAAGTTGCCCTTAGTTTTCCTGCCTTGTCAGGAGTCTCAGGCACAGTCATGAAAGTTGTTGATCTTTGCCTTTTCTTTTCCACATGGTTAGGTGATGTACAGAATCTAGGTGTAGTCAGGCCCCATTAGCTCTCTAAAAACCTGCATCCAATGGGCACTTCTGTGAAAGTGAGACACTCAATGTTTTCAACTCCTTTATGTGTCTGAGCTGAAAGGAATTGTGAATGCATTTTATCTTCACAAAAGCAAGTGGTGAAAAATCTAAATACCCTATCAAAATACCAATGGCATTCTTTACAGAAATAGAAAAAACAGTTTCCAAAATTTAAATGGAAGTACAAAAGACCCGGAATGGCCAAAGCTATCCTGAGTAAGAAGAACAAAACTGGGGGAGTCACATTACCTAACTTCAAATCATACTACAGAACTATAGTAACCAAAACAGCATGGTACTGGCATAAAACAAACACAGACCAATGGAACAGAATAGAGAACCAGAAATAAATTCATACATCTACAATGAAACTATTTGCAACAAAGTGCCAAGAGTATACAATGAGGAAACACTGTATTGAGTCTCTTTTTGACAGTTTCTTCAATAAATAGTGCTTGGAAAACTGGATATTCATATGCAGAAGAATGAAACTAGACCCCTATCTCTTGCTATTTACAAAAATCAAATCAAAATGAATTAAAGGCTTAAATCTAAGACCTTAAACTATTAAACTACTAGAAGAAAACTTTGGGGAAATTATCCAGGACATTGGACTTGGCAAAGGTTTCTTGAGTAATACCCTACAAACACAAGTGACCAAAGCAAAAATAGACAAATGGAATCACATGAAGTTAACAAGCTTCTTCAAGGCAAAAGAAACAATCAACAAAGTGAAGAGACAACCTACTGAATGAGAGAAATATTTGCAAACTATCTATGTGACAACGGATTAGTAAGAAGAATGTATCAGGAGCTCAAACAACTCCTTAATAAAAAACTCTAATAATCTAATTTAAAAATGGGGAAAGCATCTGAATAGACATTTCTCAAAAGAAGAGATACAAATGACAAACAGGCATATGAAAAGGTGCTCAATATCATTGATCATGAGAGAAATGTAAATCAAAACTACAATGAGATATCATTTCACCTCAGCTAAAATGGTTTATGTCCAGAAGACCAACAATAACAAATGCTGGCAAAGATATGGAGAAAAGGGAACACTCACACACTGTTGGTGGGAATGTAAATTAGTACAACCACTATGGAGAACAATTTGGAGTTTCCTCACATAACTCAAAATAGAACGACCATATGGTCTCACAATCCCACTGCTAAGTATATACTCAAAAGAAAGGAAATCAATATATTGAAGAGATATCTGAAGTCACATGTTTATTGCAACACTGTTTACAATAGCTAAGATTTGGAAGCAACCTGTGTCCATCAACAGATGAATGGAAAAAGAAAATGTGGGCCAGGCATGGTGGCTCAAGTTTGTAATCCCAGCTGTTTGGGAGATGGAGATGGGAGGATAGTTTGAGCTCCGGAGTTCAAGACCAGCCTGGGCTATGTGGTGAGACTCCATCATTACAAAAGTAAAAATATTAGCCTGGAGCAGTGGCATGTTCCTCCGATCCTCGCAATTTCAGAGGCTAACATGGGAGGATTGTGGAAGCCTGGGTTATTAAGGCTGCAATAAGCCATGATCACACCACTGAACTCTAGCCTGGGTGACAGATTGAGACACTGTCTCTAAGAAAAAAAGTACTATTCAACCTTAAAAAGGAAAGAGAACCTGCCATTGCAGCAACATGGATGAAACTGAAGATCATTATGTTAAGTTAGGTAAGCCACTGTCATAGAAAGACAAACTTCACACATTCTCAT
The DNA here is from genome assembly GCF_000001405.40 of Homo sapiens. Taxonomy (NCBI): domain Eukaryota; kingdom Metazoa; phylum Chordata; class Mammalia; order Primates; family Hominidae; genus Homo; species Homo sapiens. Next base: position 48,468,189 of record NC_000006.12, read on the forward strand.
TTATTTGTGAGAGCTAAAAAAAAATAAATAAAACAATTGAACTCATGAAGGTACAGAGTAAAATGATGGTTACCAGAGGCTGGGAAGGACACTGGTGTGGGGATGGAGGAGAAGTGGGGATGGCTAATGGATACCACATTAAAGTTGGAATGAATAAGATCTAGTATTTTATTGCAGAACAGGGTGACTACACACTCAACAATAATTTATCGTACATTCTAAAATAACTAAAAGATTATAATTGTATTGTTTTTAACACAAAGAAAAGATAAATGCTTGAGGTGATGGATATCCCATTTACCATGATGAGATTATTATGTATCATATGTCTGTATCAAAATATCTCATGTACCCCATAAATATATACATCTACTATGTATCCACAAAAAACTTAAAAAATTAAAAAGAAAATCTAAATTTAAAAATGACACAAAGGACTTATTACCTGCAAGAAATTTTCTAATTTTCCACTAATTTCCTTTTGTAGCCTTGCATGTAGTTTATTGACACTGATTGCATTTGGAGGAATATGGAAAGGAATTATGTTCTATCACATGACTACACAAAGATAAAACTGCCCAAGATGCACAGACACTTCCCGCCCCCAACCCTTTGTGTCCCACAGACAAAAACTTCACACACACACTCTTGTATAATGAAAATGTGAAAGATGTTTAAATTTTAATCTCAACTCCTTACTGCTAGAGGAAGGGAGGTAGGAGGGAATACCTGCTGGATATATATAATGGAAAGACGCTATCTTTTTTAATTTGGAAAATTAAAAGGACGAAGGAATAATAAACATGTTTTCAGTGCTCATTCCTATTCCAGGCGATTTATATATGTTACTTCATTAATTCTATAAAAATCATGTTTCTTCCTCTAGTTTAAATAAAATATAGCCAGATTTTGGGTGCCTGTTAAATAACCTAGCTGTTCTAAATAATGATAAGGGAAGTCACTTTATTGAAGGGCCTGTGCATTGCCAAGGAGTTTTCTCACAGAAACCCCAGATCAGCAGCATTATCACACTAATGCAGTAGACGAGAAAACTGGGGCTCCAAGAGGTACCAGTGGTGCCCAATAAGACATTAAGTGAATTCCTGTGGAGTCCATGATGTGGGGAGGTAGTGTGCTACAATATTGCTGCCTGAGAAGCCTCTTTTCTTATCTGAATCAACTGAGTTTGATAATTTTAGTGATTAAGGTAATATTTTAATGATTTTTGAAATTTGGGTAAATCTTGTGGCATTGATTTATAATTGAATATATGAATTTAGTAAACACTTGTTTTATTTTATTTTAATTTTGTTGTCAGTTTTGAGATTTTTTTCTTCCTTCAAGTATATAGTAGACCAGTTTTATAAATTAATTGCATTACCTAGGCAGTTTTCTCCATTTCATTTTGACTGTCTCCATTTTCACTGATTGTAAGATGGCTAAGAAGTAAAGAAGATGAAAGAGATGGAAGAGGTTTTAAATAACTTGCATTTCACTAGATGAAAATTCGATGTGTGTATCCCTGCTCTTCAAAATATTCTTATAGAGAAAAGAAAACAGACAGCACTTTTACTGTTTTGACTGCTTCGGAAATTAGAATGAGCAAAACAATGATTCTTTCTTTTTTAAAAAATAAATTATTGTGGTAAGAATATTTAACATTAAATCTACATTCTTACCAAATTTGTAAATGTACAATGCAATATTGTTAATGTTAGGCATCATATTGTACAGTAGATCTCTTGAACTTATTCATCTTGCATAACTGAAACTTTATGCCCATTTATTGCAACTATCCACTTCCTCCTCCCCTCCAGCCAGTGGCAACCAATATTGTACTTTCATTTCTATAAATCTGATTATTCTAGGTACCTCATATGAGTGCACTCATTTAGCATTTGTCCTTCTGTGACTGGCTTATTTCACTTAGCATAATATCCTCACGGTTCATTTATATTGTCCCATGTTATAAAATTTCCTTCTTTTTAAAGACTGAATAATATTTTGTTACATATATATACCATATTTCCTTTATCCAGTCATCCATTAATGGACAGCTAAGTTGCTTCTAAATCGTGGCTGTTGTGAATAGTGCTGCAGTGAACGTGAGAATGCTAATGTCTTATCACAATTCAAATTTCATTTTTTTTTTGTTAATTACCCAGAGATGGTTTTGCTGCTGACATTCTTTTTTTTTTTTTTTCCCTGTTAGGTAGCCTTAAACTGTAAGACTATTTGTGCTACCACTACAGTAACTAATTTAATGTGTGGATATTTATATGTATAAATTTTTACTTCCAGAATACATAATTTTTATATACACTTGAATAAAACGCCTTAATAAAACATTCTTCTGCTTTAAGTAAAGCACTCCCCAAAAATGGCATTTTTATTTTTTACAGATATGCAACATGTGAAACTTAAAATATTATCCGAGAGAGAGAGACAAGCAGGATCTTTTATTCCATTAAGACTTATATTTAAACATATTCTCCTGTTAGTGTTTAAAATACTATGAGGTGATAGGTCATAACTTAATTTTACCATTTCACAAAGCCAAGCAGATACACAATTCTTCACAAGCTGTTAGTGGACTTTCATACAGCTTAACCAGCCCACTCAGGAACAATATATTCCAGCTCAGCACATCTCAAATTTTAATATGCACAAAAATCTCCTGAGGATCTTGGTAAAAGGTAGATATCCACTGACAGTAAGAGAGATGGTTAAGAAGTCAGTGAATAAGGATAAGAGATGGAAGAGGTGTTACCTATTTAGATAGCTTCACAATTTCTCATTTTCATGTGTTCTATTTACTTTTTGTAGATGATAACTTAAAAATGTAAGCTAATTATTTACTTTAAAAATACTCTTTTTCTTCTTGCCAGTTTGGTTCTTTTATTTAATCTTCAGATATAAACTCGCTAAAGATTTAAGAGGAACAATTTATCATATTTCATCAATTCAAAGACATATGTTTTCATATTTTAACTTCTCCGAAATGATGCTGAGTCTTACAATTGATGGCATTTTACAATGCAATTTATAACATTTTTTCTTTTCTTTTTTCTTTTAAACCTTCTTTATTTTCATGACTTGGGCGCCATGCTTCTTACAGTCCATGGGATCCTAGATTCTAAGAAAAATGGTTGCTGATGACTGTGTCCTTCATGTCACTGATCAGCTACTCTGCAGGAGAGCAGCTTGAGCTTTGATAGCTAAGTGTAGCAGATGATTTCCTGGATTCTGCTACAAGAAGTTGTTGAGCAGGACTAATGCCATGCTGGTTATAAAATGTCAAAAGGACAAAGATCTCATTTAGCCTTCTGCATAGACTATTCTTCTAGGGCCACAGGGAATAATCAAGGATCTGAAAACTCAATAAAGGTTTTCTTCTTGATGTTCCTGCTTGAGACTCTGCTGCAAATGCAACTTACACTGAATGGAGAAGGGAATCAGTGGCCGACATTTCTCTTTGTCTAGGAATGGCTGGTGGTTATTCCTCTGCTGAACACACATTTGAAAAACATTTGAAGACATTTTTGGACTTCCATAATAAAGTCTTCTCTGTTATGTTAGGGGAGGGGGAGCTGAAAGACAATGAAGAGTCTCTTTCTTTTCATCAACCAGTGTAGTTCAGGAGGAAGAATTTTGCAGATATTCATGTTTTTAAAAATTAAAACAAATAAAAAACAAAACAACTTAATAGTCCTATGAGTAATATAAGTATTTAAACTTAAAATGAGCAATTTTAGAAAATTACTGCTTATTTTTTAATTTATGATTTCTTATCACATTTGGCATTTTCAAGCTGTGTTTGTTGAGCATTTCTATACACTATGAGTAATCAACCTTAGCCACTATCCTTCTGAAAAACCACTGGTGACATTTTAAGACTTTGTATGTTCCTTACAAAAATAAAAGACATAAAACTTGAAGGACATATTACATGTTCCTTTACTCCCAAGAGCACATATAAATAGATGCTCTGAATTCTCTGAATTGGTTTTGTTTCCTGAGAAGGGCAAACTAGGCCTTTATTAAATGCTGTTTTTAAGATCATCTGTCATTATTGGTCATAACAGTATTTCAGCTCACTCTTAAGTTAAGAGAAAGTAGTAGCCTAATAGTCTTGGCACCAAAAGTGACATTGTGGTTTAGGGAGATAAAGCAAAAATGTTTTAATGATAAGCTAGAACTGTATACTCCCATGCATAAAAGAACTGTAGCTTATATTTTAAAGTAACAATTTGATAATAAGGAAAAGTAATCAGCAATTAACTGTCAAATATAAGTAAACCTCAGAAGCTATTTAAAATTTCCTTAAAATAATCTGAGCCTGCAATCAAATTTAAGAAAGATTTAATTCCCAGACTTGTTTGTTCACAATTACTGTTTTTTCAACATAATGCATAGTTTACTGTATTAATCCTTTCTCTTACCCTATTATTCATATCACAGTCTTAAATTTTAATGGAAGGACTTCTTTTCATGTAGAAGATGCACTCTTTATTTTCCCGTAGATACAAAATGATTGTGCAAGACCAGTCACTAAAACAAAAGGAAATCCAGTGGCAATTCCGAAAGTCAATTTTCAGTTTTGTACAACTATGTAGTAATGTAAATAATTGATGCTTTTGTGGTTTTCCTTGCTCAACCTTATACTCAGCTTAATTAAAACCCTGCTATTACTAATTGAGAAACTATCACTTATTTGTTCAAACTACCCTAACTGAGCCCTCTATTAATTTGTTAGTAAGAACACTAGCATCTGGAGTAGTATCTCATAGCTGTTGGTTGCACTTAGAGAAGAATCTTATTTTTTAAATTTTCTCTACTTTTATTCTAGGTTCAGGGAGTACATGTGCAGATTTGTTACATGGGTCAATTTTGTGTCACTAAGGTTTGGTGTACAAATGAAAGCAAAGAACCGAATAGTTTTTCAACCGATGTTTCCCTCCCACCCTCCCATGTCAATCAGTCCACAGTGTCTATCATTCCCATCTTTGTGTCCACATGTATTCAATGTTTAGCTCCTGATTATAAGTGAGAACATGTGGTTTCTGGTTTTCTCTTCCTGCATTAGTTTGCTTAGCATAATAGCTTCCAGCTACCTCCATGTTGCTTGCAAAGGACATGATTGTGTTACTTTGTGGGAGAATCTTTAAAGTTAAGAAAGTATTTAAAATTTCTTCAAGATTTAAAATTCTGCTATGTTTCAAGATTAAAACATTTAAGCACTTTGAGTATGTGTGAATACATGTGCATATTTTGATTTTTCATATTATTTCATATTTCATACGTATTCTGAGAGTCCAATTGTGATGGAAAACTAGTATTGTATTCCGAAATTCATATGTATTCTGAGAGTCCAGTTGTGATGGGAGACTCTTTTTAAATGTAACATTAAAAAATATGTATATCTTACTCTTGAAGTTACAGTGGGAAAATTTCCAGATTCATAAGGACCTTGGTTTATAAATAAAAAGTGAGTGACAGTGGAAACTGCCTTTCCTCTTCACAACATGAGAGTTTTCCAGGGTGCGATTGAGCTAAGGATAGAGAATTTTTTCTGCTAAATGCTGGACAGAGAGAGCCTGCTTTGTATTCATTCCTGTTGTCCATTCATCCTACAATGGAGGGAAATAAAATACTAGAATGCTGCTCTAAATTTATCTGTGTCTCTCCCAAATAGTTACATGTCACAGGTAAATTTATTTGAGAGTTTATTTGCTTAACATATTAACCATTTGGAACATCTCTGATTGGTTAAAAAGACCGATCTTCATTCATCGAGTTGTTTTTAACACATTTTTATGCTTTGTTTTTCCTATATATTGTCAGGTTTTTCCTAAATAGATCTTATCTTTCATTTTGTCTAATAGCTGGAAAGTAAGATTCAGAAAGCAAATCTAATTTGTCCTAAAATTATGTTTTTTGATGCTTTTACATGTCTTGAGGTTTATGTTCAAATGTGTTAGGGAGTCTACTTCCTAGTCCTTCATGAATATGTTCAAATTTGGCAACACAGGAAAAGCAGCAGATTGTTTATTAAGTCATTTGTTACAATAAATGAATCACTTTTTTCCAAATATTGAAATATTACCCCAGGCGAAACTTCGTAAACTACAACAAAGTGATTGAGAATAGCTGTGATACATCTGGAAAGTGTTTCATTAAAATAAGGCATGCACACAGAGAGAGAGAGAGAGAGAGAGAGAGAAGTAGAAAGAGAGAGAGAGAGAGAATTACCATGTGACAAATAGGACAATCTCAGGGAACATCAGAAAAAGAAAAACTTCTGGGGGTTTCCACCTAGGCTCACTTAAGTAAATTTTTGCTGCCTCTCTTTTGGACATGCAAAGTGGGAAGGAGAGGAGGAGGTAGAGGAAGATGATCCAATAGAAGCCTCCATTAATTGTCCTCCCTATAGAAACACCACATTTATATCTACACAAAAAATACATTCATAAGAATCACATATCAGGTAAGCGATAACAGTGCCTGATTTTAACTTCATATCACTGAAAGAGGCACTAAAGGGAGTAGGAAAGAGCCTTGAACTTCCAACACCACTCCTCCCTCACCCAGCTCCCCTGCACCTGACAGTGGCCAGGTGGCACAGAGAAAGAATCTGTACACTCCGGGGAGGAAGAATGCAGTAACTGTGGGACTTTACACTGGAACTCAGTGCTGCCAAAACTGAGGAGAACTCAGACAACATGTGTGCAGGGACTATTTAGACTAATCCCAGCCAGAGGGCAATTGCCCATCCTAGCAGTCAGGCAGAACCTGAGTGTTGTCAAGTCTTGCTACTGTGGGCTAAAGTGCTCTGGGGTGCTACATAAACTTGAAAGGCAGTCTAAGCAGCAAGGATTATAACTCCTAGGCAAGTCCTAGTGCTGTTCTGGGCACAGAACCAGTGGACTTGAGGGGCCGCCAACTTAGTGAGACACCAGCTGGGGTGGCTAAAGGAGTACTTGCATCATTTTTCCCCAATCTCAGGAAGCACAATTCACAACTCCAAAGCAGACCCCTTCTTTCCACTTGAGGCAGGAGAGGAAACAGTAAAATGACTCTGCTTTGAAACTTGGATACCAACTCAACAGCAGAAGGATAGGGTACAGGGCAGAGTCATGAGGCCTTTATTCCAGTCTCTAGGGTCTGGAAAATATATCTAGACACACCTTGTCCAGAAGGGAACCTACTGCCCTGAAGGGAAGGACCAAGTCCCAGCAGGATTCCCCACCTGATGACTAAGGAGCCCTTGGGCTCTGAATAATTAGCAGCAGTGACTAGGTAGTACATGCCATGTGCCTTGGATGAAATTCTGAGATGTGCTGGATTCAGGTGTGACCTAGCACATTCACAGCTGTGGTGGCTATGGGAAGAGACTCCTTTTTCTTGTAAAAAGGTGAAGGAAATTAAAGGGGACTTTGTCTTGCAGCTTAGGTACCAGCTTGGCCAAAGTGGAGAAGAGCACCGAGAAGTTACTTGGGGACACTGATTCTAGGCCTTGGTTCTTGAATGGCATTTCTGTGCTTACCCTGAACTGTAGGGGAGTCCATTGCCCTGATGAGTGAGTCCTAGGTGTGGCAGCATTCACCAAAAACTAACTGACGAGCCCTTGGGGCTTAAGTGAACATCAGTGGTAGCCTGGCTGTACTCACCAGGGGCCTGTGGTGGTATGAATATGGAGAGAGACTCCTCTGCTTGGAGAAAAGGGAGAGAAGAGTGGGAAGAAGTGCATCTTGTGGTTTTGGTGCCAGCATAGCTGCAGGCGAATAAAGAACCAGGTAAATATCTAAGGTTTCTCACCCTAGGCCCTAGCTCCTAGACAGGATCTCTGGACCCACCTGGGTGTGGGGGAGCTCACTGCCCTAAAAGAAAAGACACAAGCCAGGCTGGCACTGCCACTTTATGATTGTAGAGTCCTAGAGCCTTCAATGAAGATAGGTGGTATCTAGGTAGTGGTTACACTGTGCCTTGGGCAAGACCCAGTGCTGTGCAAGCTTTAGGTCAGACCTAGTGCAGTCCCAGTAGTGGTGGACACAGGGGTGGTTCTGTCACCCCTCTCCCAGCCCCAGACAGCTCAGCACAGAGAAAGAAAGAGAGATTTCATTTTTTGGGGAGAAAGTAAGGGAAGACAACAAGTGTCTCTACCTGGTAATCCAGATAATTCTTCTGGAACTTAACAAAGACCATAAAGGCCATACCTCTGTGATGCTGCAGGAACTCCAGTGTTACTGGGGTTGGAGTGCCCCCTAATGCAGATATAGCTGCAGTGACTAAAACCTTAGCTCTCAACACCCAAGTGCCTTTGAATACCTGAAAAACTATCCCAACAAGAATGGGTAAAGACAAGCCCAGTCTATGAGAAGTACAATAAATACCTAACTTTTAAATGACTAGACACTGACAAACATACACAAACATCATGAACATGCAGGAAAACATGACCTTACCACATGAACTAAATAAGTCACTGGGAACAAATCCTGGAAAGACAGAGCTAGGTGACCTGTTAGAGAATGCAAAACGGCTGCTTTAGAAAACTCAAAGAAATTCAAGATACCACAGAGAAGGAATGAACAACTCCATCAAAAAAATTTAACAAAGACAGGGAAATATTTTACAAGAATCCAGAAAAAATTATGGAGTTGAAAAATGCAATTGACATAATTAAGAATGCATCAGGATCTCTTAATAGCAGCAGTAATCAAGCAGAAAAAGAATTAGTGAGCTTGAAGACAGGCAATTTGAAAATACTCAAGGGAGGCAAAAGAAAAAAGAATAAAAAAGAACAAAGTGTGCCTACCAGATCTAGAAAATAGCCCTAAAAAAGTTATTATCTAGCCTCAAAAGAGTTAATGGCCTTAAAGAGGAGGTAGAGATTAAGATGGCAGAGAAAGTCTATTCAAATGAATAATAGCAGACAACTTCCCAGACCTAGAGAAAGATATCAATATCCAAGAACAAGCAGGTTATAGAACACCAAGACGATTTAACCCACAGAAGCCTACCTCAAGCTATTTAATATTTAAACTCCCAAAGTTCAAGGGGAAAAAAAGAAGCCTAAAAGCAGCAAGAGAAAAGAAACAAATAGCATGCAATGGAGCTCCATTACATCTGACAGGAGACACCTTACCGGCCAGTGGAGAGTGGCATGTCACATTTAAAGTGCTGAAGGAATAAAATTTTTACCCTAAAATAGTACATCTGGTGAAAATATCCTTCAACCATGAAGAAGAAATGAAGACTTTCTCAGACAAAGGAAAGCTGAGGGTTTTTATCAACACCAGACCTGTCCCATAAGGAATGCTGAAGGCAATATTTTAATCAGAAAGAAAAGAATGTAAGTGAACAATAAGAAATCGTCTGAAGGTACCAAACTCACTGGTAATAGTATGTGCACAGAATATCACAGAATATAATACTGTAATTGTGGTGCGTAAACTCATATCTTAAGTACAAAGATGAAATAAAGAATTGATCAAAAATAATAGCTACAAGAACTTTTCAAGAAAGGAACTACAGCAAGATATAAACAGAAAGAGCAAAGAATTAAAAAATAGGGAGACGAAGTTGAAGTGTAGAGTTTTATTAGTTTTCTCTTGCTTGTCTGTTGTTTTATTTGTTTGGTTATGTAATCAGTGTTAAGTTGCCATCAGTTTAAAATAATGGGTTATCAGATAGTATTTGCAAACCTCCTAGTAACCTCTAATCTAAAAACATACAATGGATACAAAAAAAAAAAAGCAAGAAATTGAAACATACTACCAGAGAAAATCATCTTCACTAGAAGGAAGACAGGAAGAAGGAAAAGAAAAAAAGACGACTACAAGTATCTAGGAAACAAATAATAGAATGGTAGGAGTAAGTCCTTTCTTATCAATAATAACATTGAATATAAATTGACTAAATTCTCTAATGAAAATGTACATTGACTGAATGAATTAAAAATTATACCAAACAATCTGTTGCCTACAAGAAACATACTTCCCTTATGAAGACCCAGATAGCCTGAATATAAAGGGGAAGGACAAGATACTTCATGCCAATGGAAACCAAAAAAAGAGCAGTAGCTATACTTGTATAAGACAAAATAGATTTCAGACAAAAACAACAAAAAGAGACAAAGAAGGCCATTATGTAATGATAAAGGGGTCAAATCAGCAAGACGATTTAACAATTATAAATATATTTGCACCTACCACTGGAGCTCCCAGATATAAAAAGCAAAAGTTATTAGAGCTAAAGAGAGAGTTAGACAAAAGGAATTTTGGAAACCACACAAACAAATGGAAATAAAACAAAATGCTCCTGAATGACCAGTGGGGTCAATGAAGAAAGTAAGAAGAAAATTGAAAGTTTTCATTAAACAAATGGTAATGAAAACACAACCTACCAAAATCCATGGGATACAGCAAAAGTAGTACAAAGAGGGAAGTTTATAGCTGTAAGTGCCTACATCAAAGAAGAATATAAACTTCAAATAAACAGCTTAATGATGCATCTTAAAAAAATTAGAAAAACAAGAGCAAACCAAACCCAAAATTAGTAGAAAAAAATAATAAAAATGAGAAAAGAAATAAATGAAATTGAACTGAAGAAAACAATACAAAAGATCAATAAGCAAAAAAAGTTCTTTTGAAAAGATAAACAAAATTGACAAAACTTTAGCCAGATTAACTAAGAAAAAGAGAGAATACCCAAATAAATAATATCAGAGATGAAAAAGAAGACATTACAACCAATACTGCAGAAATTCAAAGAATCATTGTAGACTACTATGAGCAACTATATACCAATAAATTAGGCAATCCAGAAGAAATGAATAAATTCCTAGACACATACAACCTACAAACAGATCCATGAAACAAATCAAAACCTTATAACAAGTAACAAGATCCAAGCCATAATCAAATGTCTCCCAGCAAAGAATAGCACAGCACCTGATGGCTTCACTAATACATTTTACCAAACATGTAAAGAACTACTACCAATCCTATTAAAACTAATCCAAGAAATAGAGACAAAGGAAAAACTTCCAAACTCATCGTATGGGGCCAGTATGATTCTGTTACCAAAAGCAAAGATACATTAAAAAAAAAAAAGAAAGAAAGAAAAAGAAAAAAGAAAACTACAGGCCAATTATCTCTGATGAACATCGATGCAAAAATCCTCAATCAAATATCAGCAAACTGAATTCAACAATGCATTAAAAAGATCATTATTCATGACCAAGTGGGATTTACCCCAAGGATGATGGTTCAGCATAAGTAAATTAATCCATGTGATACATTTTATCAACAGAATGAAAGACAAAAATCATATGATCATTTCAATTAATGCTGTGAAAGCATTTGATGAAATTCAACATTTTTTTCATGATAAAACCCCTCAAAATACTTGGTATACAAGGAACATACCTTAACAGAATAAAAGCCATATATGACAGACCCACAGTTAGTATCACACTGAATGGGGAAAAAACTGAAAGTCTTTCCCTTAAAATGTGGAACACAACAAGGATGACCACTTTCAACATTGTTTTTTAACATAGTACTCGAAGTCCTAACTAAAGAAATCAGAAAGAGAAATAAATAAAGTGAATTCAAATTGGAAAAGAAGTCAAATTATCCTTGTTTACAAATTATATGATCTTATGTTTGGAAAAACCTAAAGACTCCATCAAAAAACTATTAGAACTGATAAATTCAGAAATGTCACAGGATACAAAATCAACATACAATAATCAGTAGCATTTCTATATGCCAAAAGCAAAAATCTGAAAAAGATCAAGAAAATAATCCCATTTACAATAGCTACAAATAAAATTATGTACCTAAAAATTAACAAACCAAAGTAGTGGAAGTTCTCTACAATGAAAATATAAAACACTGATAAAAGAAATTAAAGAGGACACAAAAATATTGGCATTATATTCTGTGTTCATAGACTGGAAGAATCAATATTGTTAAAATGTCCATAGTACCCAAAGCAACCTACAGATTCATTGTAATTCATGTCAAAATACCAATGACATTCTTTACAGAAATAGAAAGAAAAATTCTAAAATTTAGATGAAACTAGAAAAGCTCCAGAATAGCCAAAGCTATGCTGAGCAAAAAGAACAAGACTGGAGGCATTACATTACCTGACTTTGAATTATACTACAGAGGTATACTAACCAAATCAGCATGCTACTGGCATAAACACAGACACACAGACCAATGGAACAGGTGACAATAGTCAATAATAACTTAATTGTACATTTTAAAATAATCTTAAGAGTATAATTGGGTCAGGCAAGGTGGCTTACACCTGTAATCCCAGCACTGTGGGAGACTGAGGCAGATGCATCACTTGAGCCCAGGGGTTTGAGACCAGCCTGGGCAACCTGGTAAAACCCTCTCTCTACTCCAAATACAAAAACAATTAGCTGGGAATGTTGGCACATACCTGTAGTCTCATCTAATCAGGAGGTTGAGGTGTGAGAATCACCTAAGCTCAGGAGGTCGAGGCTGCAGTGAGCCATGGTTGAGCCACTGTACTCCAGCCTGGGTGACAGAGTGAAACCCCATCTCAAAAAAAAAAAAAAAGAAAAATGTAATGGGACAGTTTTTCACTCAAAGGATAAATGCTTGAGGAGATAGATACCCTATTCTCAATGATGTGCTAATTTCACATTGCATGCCTCTATCAGAATATCTCAAGTACTTCATAAATATATGCACCTAGTATGTACCCACAAAAAATTTTTTAAAAAGTCCATGCACCTAAACAGTAAGTTTATTTTCTACAATGGTTCCAAGAGCATACATTGGGAATAGGACAATCCCTTCAATAAACGATGCTGGGAAAACTGGATATTCATATACAGAAGAATGAAACTAGATCCCTATGTTTTGCCACATATAAAAAGAAAATCAAAAATGGATGAAAGACTTACATCTGAGGCCTCAAATTATGAAAGAAAAATGGATAAAAGACTTACATCTAAGACCTCAGACAAGAAAATATTGGGGAAACTCCTCTTCAGGACTGGGCAAAGATTTCTTGAGTAATACCCCACAAACACAGGCAACTAAAGCAAAAATAGACAAATGAGATCACATGAGGTTAAGTTTCTGCATGGCAAAGGGAACAATCAACAAAGAGATAACCCACAGAATGGGAGAAAACATTTTCAAACTATCCATCTGACAAGGGATTAATAACCAGAATATATAAGGAGCTCAAACAATTCCATAGGGAAAACTTTAATAATTCGATTAAAAAATGGGAAAAAGATCTGAATACACATTTATAAGAAGAAGACATACAAATGACAAACAGGTATATGAAAAAGTGCTCAACATCACTGACCATCAGAGAAATGCAACTCAAAATCACAATGAAATATTATCTCACCCTGGTTAAAATGGCGCTTATCAATGAGACAGGCAATAAGGAATGTAAGAATGTGGAGAAAAGGGAACCCTTGCATACTCTGGGTGGGAATGTAAATTATTACAAACACTAGGGAGAACAGTTTGGAGGTTCCTCACATAACTAAAAATAGAAATACCATCTGATCTCATAATCCCACTTCTAGGTATACACTCAAAAGCAGTGGTCCCCAACCTTTTTGGCACCAGGGACTGGTCTTGTGGAAGACAATTTTTCCACGGATGGGGGTAGAGGTGGGAGATGGTATGGTTTTGGGATGACTTTGCTCCACCTCAGGCATTAGCATTAGATTCTCATAGAGGTTGCACAACCTAGATCCCTCCATACTCAGTTCACAAGTGGGTTCCAGCTCCTATGAGAATCTAATGCCACCACTGATCTGACAGGAGGTGGAGTTCAGGCTGTAATGCTGGCTTGCCAGCCACTCACCTCCTGCTGTGTGACCTGGTTCCTAACAGGCAACAGACTTGTACCTGTCCACAGCCCGGGGGTTGGGGACTCCAGTCCTAAAGGAAAGATATTGAGATATTGAAGAGATATCTACACACCCATATTTATTCCAGTACTATTCACAATAGCCAAGATTTGGAAGCAATCTAAGTGTCCATCAACTGAGGAATGGATTAAAAAATGTGATACATATACACAATGGAATACTATTTAGCCTTAAAAAATAACAAGATCTTGTCATTTTCAACAACATGATTGGAACTAGAGGTCATTAATTTAAATGAAATAAGCCAGTCATAGACAGAAAAACTGCATGTTATCACTTATTTGTGAAAGCTAAATATTGAAACAATTGAACTCATGGAGATAGAAAAATGATAGTTACCAGAGACTGGGAAGTGTAGTGGGGATTGGAGGAGAAGTAGGGATGTTTAATGGGTACAAAAAATAGTTAAAATAATGAATAAGATTCAGTATTCGATAGCATAACAAGGTGACTATAGTCAAAAATAATTTAATTGTGCATTTAAAAATAACTAGGCCAGGCGCAGTGGCTCATACCTGTAATCCCAGCACTTTGGGAGGCTCAGGTGGGTGGATCACCTGAAGTCGGGAATTCGAGACCAGCCTGACCAACATGGAGAAACCCCATCTCTACTAAAAATACAAAATAAGCTGGGTGTGGTGGTGCATGCCTGTAATCCCAGCTACTCCGGAGGCTGAGGCAGGAGAATTGCTTGAACCTGGGAGGCGGAGGTTGCAGTGAGCCAAGATGGCACTATTGCACTCCAGCCTCAGCCTGGGCAACAAGAGTGAAACTCCATCTCCAAACAAAAACAAAAACAAAACAAAACAAAACAACAACAAAAAAACTAGAACTGTGTAATGTGTAACTGGATTGTTTGTAACAGAAAGGATAAGTGACAAATGCTTAAAGTGATGGATACCCTATTTATTCTCATGTGATTATTACACATTGTATACCTGTACCAAAATATGTAATGTGCCTAGAAAAATAAAAAATAAAAAACAAGGTAGTAGGAGAATAAAGTCACCATACCCTTAATATTCCATTCCCGGTACTATTGTGGTGTAAGTTTTAATTTTGCTTAAATATTTCCATTCATTGATTATAACATTCTCATCTTTCCCTTTTTTCCACAGCATTCTTCTTATGAGGTAATATGTATCCTATAGCACAGCACACTTGGGATCAAGTCACACATATATTTAATCCCATATGAGAAAATTTTATTACAAATTGTTAATTGTTGAAAAAACATACATGCCTATATCCTCAGGTATTTCACATTTAAATACATTTTTACCATATTCATTTGATTCATTGGTCTTTTTTCCTTTATTATTTTATATCTACCCACTCCGAAGCTGCACCCTAACACCTTTGTTCCATTTATCCCTTTCTGTCTCTCTCTCTTTCACACACACCCCACTCTCCGTATTTCCCGGAAAAAAATAGGTGTTTTCTTATGTATGTCCATGTTTATTTATAACTGACTTCTTCTATAAGATAATTAAAATTTAACTACAGGGAAGTAGAACATTTCTTTAATCTACTATCAGAGAAGGATTAAATTGTAATATTACGAGAAAGGGACAAGTGGTCATGACTTTTAGTCTTTATTTTAGAGGAATATAGGGAGAATTTTGAGGCTTCTTTTATAGATAAAATAAAAATCAAAAATGGCTCATAAAGAAAGGAATCGAGCTTTAAAAAAGTATAATAAATGTGAGGTGTTTTATAAAAGTCAGTCTGGTGGTGGGTAGGTGAGAGGGGTGAGAGACAAAATGAATAAACTACAAAATTTACTTTTAACACTCAGTAAAATTGTCATATGTGATGTATCTCCATATTCAGAAGAAGCAATCCTCTTCTTCTTGGCAGTTGGTCAAAACTCAGGAAGGCTATTGAGACCTTACTGGTCACTTCTTACCCAAACTCTCTCAAACCAGAGTGATTTTCAATAAAGTAAAATCTAAAGATAATTTTAATTCTGTATATTCAGACTCCAGGAGATTCTTTTATGAACAACTTCTATCCGTAAAATCAAGGGAAAATATGGTCTACAGGTCTAGAGCAGAACTGCCCTTGATATTATTAGAGTCACATAGATACAAAAATGCAACCACATTAAGACAATAAAATTAACTTAAATAGAGAAGAAATTACAATAAGCAAATCTTACTAAGTTCAAGATGGTGACCCAATGCAACTTCTCACATACATTTTGTCCATAGAGTCATATAGAAGCTCTTTTAAAAATCATAACACTAAAATAGTCTGTGGTTTCATTACAATTTAAAGTCAAAGGTTTTAATATGATTTACAAATTAATTAGATAAATTCTGGTAGCATAACAAAATATTATAATGGAAACCATTAAAGTCCATTTTATAGGCCAATTTATTCCCTTTAATGGAGTTATTCAAACCAGCTTAAAATGTATATATTTCTTTCCAAAATATAAGTGATTTACCTTTGGGAAGTATGTTTAGGTCAGGTTGCAACCTACCACCCACTGCATCTGCTATACAAGTTTAGATTTTATGCTGTAACGTTCTGGCTAAAAATAATTTTTAAATAACTGAGCCTTTCAAAACTAAGTATTTTCTTTACACTTTACTTTGAAATTTGATATTGTTATAAAACATTGCAAATGCACATAAAATGAACCTTAAACATATCTAATGTGGAAATAAATTAATTTCCAACCACTGGATCATGTTAAAGTGATCCTTTTCATGTTTTAACAGAAAATTCTCATTGGAAAACTTTTTTTCCTACATTTTTAGTAAGAAAATTATTTTTCTCCCTCAATGTATATAAGGTAGATAGATTCACCTTTGGTGAGGGCAAAAGTGTCAGTTGAGCCTTCAGAGAAATTGGTTTTTAAGGCGATATGCTTCCCTCTTTTCTCCCACTCTCTGGCCCACTCTTGCCTCTAGCTCCCAAGAGTCCAATATTTCTACATTTCCTTCCAGCTGTACAGCCCAGAATTCTCTGCCACAGTTCAATACCTGGTTTCACAAACACCCCAAAATGCCACTCTTTCAATGTATCCTTGTGTGGCTTTATTCTGACTAGACATTATAAATGAATCTCCTCATGTCCACACAAACATGGCATTTTTTGCCTTTTGAAGTCCATTATTCCATTTCATCTTTATGAAAGTTCCATGAGCTAAGAACACAGGGAGTATAATCTGTATTTCACAGGTGAGGAAATTGAGTCTCTAAAAATTAAATGTTCATGGTCATTTGGATAGCTTAATAAATGTTGTGAAGCTAGAATTAAAACACATTTATTTCTCTCTCCTAATCAATAGCTTTCTACACAATATATGATTTTGAATGCTTAGTACTTAACATAAAAATGGATTGAGTAACTGTTAAAATATTAATATCTTTTTTGTATGAAAGTTCATTAATTTTTCCACTAATTCAAATACATAAATATTCATTTACTGAAAATCAACTTCATTCTACAAAAAGTAAGCATTCCACTTAGGTGTTTGAAATCCAAAGAAGTATTTAAAAAATTAAAAAGGCTTCCTCCTTTGAGGAGCCCTCTATTTGGTAGGAACTATATGTGTGTAATACAGTGGAAAGGGTTTTATGATGAAATGATGTACACAGTGCCTTAAGGTCATGAGAAAAGAGAAACTATAAAAGAGAGGCAATGTTAGATGAAGCTTTACAATAAATTTATATTATGTCTACCCCCAAAAATAAGTGTTTAATAGACAGAGAAGATTAAAGATATTTCAGATATAGAAATAGAATTTTAAAGGCTTGGTAGGTTGAAAGTGTTAGTTGTGTTTATATAATAGCAAGTTAGGACACATTCTACGTGGGTGAAAAATAATAAGAAAGGAGAAAGGAGGATATGGGAACAGTTTTTGGAGCTGTACTTGTCATGTTAGAGGAATTATAAAGCATCAAGTAAAAAGTATTCTAAAGAAGAGGAGGCACATGATTCAATTTGTTAATAAAGTCACCTTTGAGGCAGAGTGTATAAATGTTTGAAGCAGGACAGACTGGATGTGGGAAAAGGAAGCCAGAGAAAAGTGACACGGAAGGTAAGGAAGAGAATGCTTTCTAGGGGAGCCTACTCCTAGTTGTTAATACTGGGTTGCCATTCTGTGTTCCTGTTTGTGTTATGGCATCCACTTCTGAAAGGTTTTCATATATATGATACTTTTTTCAGGTTGATTAACTTTCGACCCAATATTTTCTATTATTTTTTCTATTTATAACATTTTCCCTTACATAGTCATCTTAGACTTTAAGAATTAGTGCTTTAACACGATTTTTACTGGCTATCTAAAAAATTATTTTAAGCAGGTAAATACTGTGAATACAAAGAAGCTTAGGTCTTACTGTGGAAACCTTTTTTCCCACCGCAGAGATAATTTTCTTGATTTAATGAGAGAGTTTAGAAGTGACGTCACCAAGATGGCAGAATAGAAAATCCCCTTGCATCACTCTTCCAACAAAAGCACTACCAGAAGCCACTTAAAAACTAGAACATCCCCCTGAATTCACCAGGATAGAGAAGACTAGCATTGAAAATCCTGGGCCCACAGAATTTAAAGAAGCCATAACTGGTAAAAAGAATATTCATTTTAGACTGTGCCACCTCCTCTTCCAAGCCAGCATAATACTACCCACATAAAATTTCCCTTGACCCACAGTTTCCAAGGATGGAGGAGGGAATTGGAGGTGGATGTTTGATCTCCCTATTGGTCTGAGAATCTTCATAGGAAGCCCACTCTAGTCCCATCCCACAGAAACATTAGGACTGCCAAGAGGGCCGAACCACCTGGGATGAACTGGGGACAAGGAGCAGGCATTTGATCGCAGCAACTAGTGTGCAGATGTTGGTGGCTACTAAGCACTACAAACAGTGAGGATGCCATGCTAAGAAGACTAGCTAATGCCACAG
Organism: Homo sapiens; assembly: GCF_000001405.40. Classification (NCBI taxonomy): domain Eukaryota; kingdom Metazoa; phylum Chordata; class Mammalia; order Primates; family Hominidae; genus Homo; species Homo sapiens. The sequence goes on from NC_000006.12 coordinate 48,487,060, forward strand.
GGCCACAGGGGGCATGATTCATGGGAATGCCAGAGATCCTGGTCAGATTTTCCACAAAACTAAGAGGTTTACATGGAGCCTTTCCCTGTCTGAGAAACAACTAAAAGACTGCCCAATAATTTTGAAAGCTCACTTCCCTAGAATGTGAAACAATGGCAAGGCAGCCGTTTAATTCTTGTGTAATGCTTAAGTTCCAATTTTCAATATATGTCCTCCCTAGAATGGGAAGAAACAGTAGGCCAGTGATTAAGTTCCTTATTTAAGTAATAAAAGTTTAACACCACCAAACAACACTAGAAAAAGGTCTAAAAGGTTCTCAAATGTGCAGGTATCAATGTAAAGATGTAGTGATTGTGAAAACTCAGGGAAATATGAAACCACCAAAGAAACCAATAAAGGATTTAGAAGAACTGAAGATCTATAAAATGTCTGACAAAAAACTCAGTATAATTTTCTTAAAGAAGTTCAAGGAATCATAAGAAAATTCAGGTAAGAAAAAAACTAAATGAAATTTGATAAACATTCAGGAACAATATGAGACTTTGACAAAGAAATAGGAACAACTTAAGTTCAAATAAAAAACCTAGAAATACAGAATACAATAACTAAAATGAAAATGTCTACCAGAAATTTTCAAAGGCAGACTTAATCAAACAGAGGGAAAAAATCAGGGAGCCTAAAGATGGGACCTATAAAACTATCCAATCAAAGGAGCAAAAAGATAAAAGAAATTAAAAAGATTAAAGAAAGATTAAGAAAATTATGAGACATTATTAGGCAAACTAACCTCACATAGTAGCAGTTACTGAAGGAGATCAGAGAGTAAAAGCCCTAGAAAGTATATTTAATAAAATAACAGCTAAAAATGTCCCAAATGTGGAGAAGGATGATGACATTCAGGTACAGAAAGCTCAGAGGTCACCAACCAAATTCAACTTACAGAGGAATTCCCCAAAGCACATCATAATCAAATTATTAAAAAATCAAAGGCAAAGAAAGAAAACTCAAAGGAACAAGAAAAAAGAACAATATCAGATTTAACTGAGCCCCAATATAACTTTTAGCAGATTTCTGAGCAGAAACCCTGCAGGCCAGGAGAGAGAGGGATGATATATTCAAAGAATTAAAGAAAAAGAAAATCACCAGACAAGACTAACATACCCAGCAAGGTTATCATTCAAACATGAAGGCAGTGGGGCGGGGGGAACACCTCTTCCAGGCAAAAGCTGAGGGAAGGAATCAACACCAGATGTGTCTTACAAGAAACGTTTCAGTCTTGAAGACAAAATGCTAACATGTAATAAGAAAATATTTGAAGATATAAAACTCAATGTTAAAAGTAAAAATAAAGACAAAATCAGAATACTGTAATACTGTAACTGTGGTATGTAAACCACTTATATGTTAAGTATAAAGACTAAATGACAAAACTATTAAAGATATTAATAACTACAATGATTACTTAAGAAATAGGAAGTATAAAAAGACATGAACGGAAATATTGAAAAGTCAAAATGGGAAGGTGGACAATGGTGTTGTTTGGTTTTTGCTATTTTATTTTTCTTTGCAATCAAAGTTAAGTTGTAATAAATTTAAAATAATTTATTATAAGTTATTTTTTAAGCCCTATGGTAACTATGAAGCAAAAACCTATAATAGATACACTAAAAATAAATAGTACATAATCAAAACGCATTACAGAGAAAAGCAAATGAAGACAGTGAAAGAGAAAAAAAGAAATAAATGACCTAGGAGACAAGTAACAAAATGGGAGTACTGACCTTTAGCTTTCAACCATAACCTTAAATGTAAATGGATTACATTCTCTAAAGACAAAAAGAAATGTTGGTGAAGATGCAGAGAAAAGGGAATGCTTATACACTGTTGGTGGGAATGTAGATCAGTACAGCTGTTACAGAAAATAGCATGGACATCCCTTCACAAATTTAAAAAAGAACTACCATAAGATCCAGCATTCCCACTACTTGGTATACACACAAGAATTGAAATCCATATGTCAAAGTGATATCTGCACTCCCACATTTATTGCAGCATTATTCACTATGGCCAAGATATGGAAACAACCTAAGTGTCCATCTATGGATGAATGGATAAAGAAAATATGGTGTGTTTGTGTGTGTGTGTATATATATATATATATGTATATATATATATATATGTGTGTATATATATATATATATATATATATACATGATTAAATACTATTCAGCTATAAAAAGAGAATGAAATGCTTTATTTGTGGCAACATGAATGAACCTGGAGAACATGTTGTTAAATGAATTAAAAACAGAAAGACAAAAACTTCATACCTTACTCATACTTGGAATCTACAAAAGCTAATCTCATCAAAGTAAAATTTAGAATAGTGGTAGCCAGAGGCAGCAGAAACAAAGATGGAAGAAAAGATTGGAAGAGGTTGTTTGCTGGGTAGAAAGTTACAGTTAGAAGGAGTAAGTTCTGGTATTTTGTTATATAGTAGGATGACTATAACTAATAACAACATGTTTATATTTTTGCTAGAAAAGAGGATTTTGAAAGGTATCATCACAAAGAAATGATAAAGGTTTGTAGTGATGGACATTCTAACTACCCTGATTTGATCATTATACGATGTATACATGTATTGAAACATCACACTGTAGCCCATAAACACGTGTGATCATTAGGTGTCAATTATGAATAAAATTAAGAATCTATCAAGTAAACAAAAAATCTGTGTGGAAGAATGTTGTTGAATCAGACTGCCTGATGTGGAATCCTCTGACTAGCTGCACGCCCAGAGAAAGTTACTTAACCTCTTTATGCCTCCATTTCCTCATCTTAAAAATGAAGTTAACAGTTTCTCTCTTAAAGTTTTTTGAGGATTAAATGAACATTATCTAAAAATGATTAGCGCTCTGGCAGATTGGATATGGTTAATATATGTTAGCCACCATAATCACACCACCACCAACACCATCACCATCACCACCACCACCATCAACATCATCATCGTCACCTTGACAAAAAAAAGGCTTGTTTCTAAAGCAAGTTCAGAAGACAGGCATTTAAGACAAAAAAGAAATGTGTTCCATCAAGCTTCTCATTCATTTCTCAAGAGAATTTTCAAACCATAGAAGCCTCATTCTAATATAATAATCATGCTATGTGTTATGTAGCTCTTTGGCTAAATATATTAGTTATAAAATTTCTTTGAAAATATGTAATATTAGCTCAGCCTGTAACTACACTGATCACCCTAGATACTTCTAACCACTTATCATACAAATGTCTGCTATATGTTTTCTCACATAAAATTGTGTTTAAAAATAATATTTGACTTTTTATTTCTAAGTATGTCAAGTATTTATATATAAATGGAGCCACTATTCTCTTTTTTATATCAATGAAAAGTTAATTAATAGACTAAGTAGACTTTCTGCGTGTATTATTTTCTTTGACTTTTCAACAATAGGTCTCTCCTATCTCTGCCAGTATTTTGCTTTCTTTATGCTTCTTTATGCTATCCTAGTTCTCACTTCATCTATTGACCCTCTATCCTTTCTCTGTATGTTCTCTGCATTGGAAATTTCAATCACTCTTATGGCTTCAGTGTAAACCTCTTTTTAATAAGATTTCTAGATAGCCAGCTGCAGCCAAGAATTCTGTCTCTATCAAACTCTAATATTATCACTAATTGTCTACTTGATTGATGTGCGGTCGCCTCAGTGTCAGCATGTCTAAACCGAAAGTCATATTTCTCCACAAACACTCAGACTCTTCTATTATTATCTTAATACTCTGAATCCTGTACATTCAAAACTGTAGGGGGCAATATGATAGCCCTTAAGAGAAGGGCTTTGGGAACAGACACAACAGAACTTGCTTCGCCTCTATCATTAGTAGCTTTATGACCTTTAATGATCTACCTTCCCTAAGCCTTAGTAACCTGTCTAGTAAAAGGAGCTTTATAGGGGAATTAAGTTAAGATGCTTAGCTCAGTGCTTGGCAAAAGCAAGATCTCAATGAATTTTAGCTGTCATTATTAATGCTACCCACCTAGAGTGCCTCTCAATAATAGACACACACAATTATCTCTGTGCCTTTAATGAATCTTCCTCAGTATCCCCATCGTCTTTGTCATGGTGACATCAATTCACAATGCATATGTCAACCATGACCTCTTTAGCTTGCGTTTGTTTTCTCCAGTTCCCTGAAGCTGCTTCTTTAAGAGACCACACATGCAGAAAATGCAGAATCAGGTCCACTTATGTTGCTGAGATGAAATAATAGAACCAGCAGGTTCATTTGCAATCTCACAATACCCTGAACTTGCTTTACCTAGGGATGCCATGTCTTAAATCTCCTTTGCCTTTGCCATGGCCACACTATGGGCCACACTTATGGCCATACTCTCAGCATGAACCTCAGTGTTCCCACTCTCACATGTCCAGTCAGCTCCCCCTTTCTGCTACTCCTACTGGGTCATTCTCAGAATTCTTTGTGCCCAGGCAACTAGCAAATGAAACCACCGATGCCTATAAATCCCTTTACTGTCCAGGCCTACATTGTCCAAACTTCAGTGTCTCCCCTCAGTGATAAAAATTATTATTCACCTTTCAAAAACGTTGGTCCCCCTCACTATTACCTTCACCATTAAAATCAGTGCCACCACACCTGTCAGGTTCTACATTTTCTACTGTTCTGTTTCCTGATTTCTCTGATTTAGCTAGATTGATGTTTCCTCATTGTTCTCTGTCCTATTTGTTACTTTTCTATACCCTTGATCAAACTGCAACTATAGCCTGGAACATTCACCTCTTTCTCTTTACCTATTTACATAATTTCCCGTCTCCAATGTCTAACTTAAGCCTCCAATGAGACTTCACTAATAATTATAGCTATGGGGTTGTTTCCTGTCTGAATTTATGTACTGGTTTTACCCTTGTTTCTTTGTGTTTTCAGACATTTTACTATATTCCTTTTAAGCACATTGATTATGTATTATGATTCAATACTGGCTAAACTTATGAATTCATATGAATTTGACAGAACATGCAAGCATCATATTGAAATCAAGACAATCAATTAGATAAAAAGTTTAAAAGTTCAAAATTGACACTGGTTCAGAATTTTTTAATTTCAAATGTTTTCAGTATAAAATCAATATTCGAATATAAATAAATTTTGAGAAATATATATATGTCTGTATTGGAAAATTTTATGCTATACAATATTACATATTTATAGCATCACATAGATTTTTACAACATAATAGGCAACCACTGACATTGTGATAACAATGAAGAGGAAGAAGAAGAAGAAGATGATGATGATGATGATGATGATGATAGGGCTGAAAATAACTGCGGTAAAGAAATATATCTTTTGTGGGCATTTAGTGCTATAAATTTCCTTCTACACACTGCTTTGAATGTGTCCCAGAGATTCTGGAATGTTGTGTCTTTGTTCTCGTTGGTTTCAAAGAACATCTTTATTTCTGCCTTAATTTCGTTATGTATCCAGTAGTCATTCAGGAGCAGGTTGTTCAGTTTCCATATAGTTGAGCGGTTTTGAGTGAGTTTCTTAATCCTGAGTTCTAGTTTGATTGCACTGTAGTCTGAGAGACAGTTTGTTATAATTTCTGTTCTTTTCCATTTGCTGAGGAGAACTTTACTTCCAACTATGTGGTCAATTTTGGAATAGGTGTGGTGTGGTGCTGAAAAAAATGTATATACTGTTGATTTGGGGTGGAGAGTTCTGTCCACTTGGTGCAGAGCTGAGTTCAATTCCTGGGTATCCTTGTTAACTTTCTGTCTCATTGATCTGTCTAATGTTGACAATGGGGTGTTAAAGTCTCCCATTATTATTGTGTGGGAGTCTAAGTCTCTTTGTAGGTCACTCAGGACTTGCTTTATGAATCTGGGTGCTCCTGTATTGGGTGCATATATATTTAGGATAGTTAGCTCTTCTTGTTGAATTGATCCCTTTACCATTATGTAATGGCCTTCTTTGTCTCTTTTGATCTTTGTTGGTTTAAAGTCTGTTTTATCAGAGACTAGGATTGCAACCCCTGCCTTTTTCTGTTTTCCATTTACTTGGTAGATCTTCCTCCATCCTTTTATTTTGAGCCTATGTGTGTCTCTGCACGTGAGATGGGTTTCCTGAATACAGCACACTGATGGATCTTGACTCTTTATCCAATTTGCCAGTCTGTGTCTTTTCATTGGAGCATTTAGTCCATTTACATTTAAAGTTAATATTGTTATGTGTGAATTTGATCCTGTCATTATGATGGTAGCTGGTTATTTTGCTTGTTAGTTGATGCAGTTTCTTCCTAGCCTCGATGGTCTTTACAACTTGGCATGATTTTGCAGTGGCTGGTACCAGTTGTTCCTTTCCATGTTTAGTGCTTCCTTCAGGAGCTCTTTTAGGGCAGGCCTGGTGGTGACAAAATCTCTCAGCATTTGCTTGTCTGTAAAGTATTTTATTTCTCCTTCACTTATGAAGCTTAGTTTGGCTGGATATGAAATTCTGGGCTGAAAGCAGGAAAGATCCAAAATTGACACCCTGACGTCACAATTAAAAGAACAAGAAAAGCAAGAGCAAACACATTCAAAAGCTAGCAGAAGGCAAGAAATAACTAAAATCAGAGCAGAACTGAAGGAAATAGAGACACAAAAAACCCTTCAAAAAATTAAAAAACCAGGAGCTGGTTTTTTGAAAGGATCAACAAAATTGATAGACTGCTAGCAAGACTAATCGAGAAGAAAACAGAGAAGAATCAAATAGATGCAATAAAAAATGATAAAGGGGATAACACCACCGATCCCACAGAAATACAAACTACCATCAGAGAATACTACAAATACCTCTATGCAAATAAACTAGAAAACCTAGAAGAAGTGGATAAATTCCTCCACACATACACCCTCCCAAGACTAAACCAGGAAGAAGTTGACTCTCTGAATAAACCAATAACAGGCTCTGAAATTGTGGCAATAATCAATAGCTTACCAACCAAAAAAAGTCCAGGACCAGATGGATACACAGCCGAATTCTACCAGAGGTACAAGGAGGAACTGGTACCACTCCTTCTGAAACTATTCCAATCAATAGAAAAAGAGGGAATCCTCCTTAACTCATTTTATGAGGCCAGCATCATCCTGATACCAAAGCCGGGCAGAGACACAACCAAAAAAGAGAATTTTAGACCAATATCCTTGATGAACATTGATGCAAAAATCCTCAATAAAATACTGGCAAAACGAATCCAGCAGCACATCAAAAAGCTTAATCACCATGATCAAGTGGGCTTCATCCCTGGGATGCAAGGCTGGTTCCATATATGCAAATCAATAAATGTAATCCAGCATATAAACAGAACCAAAGACAAAAACCACATGATTATCTCAATAGATGCAGAAAAGGCCTTTGACAAAATTCAACAACCATTCATGCTAAAAATTCTCAATAAATCAGGTATTGATGGGACGTATCTCAAAATAATAAGAGCTATCTATGACAAACCCACAGCCAATATCATACTGAATGGGCAAAAACTGGAAGCATTCCCTTTGAAAACTGGCACAAGACAGGGATGCCCTCTCTCACCACTCCTATTCAACATAGTGTTGGAAGTTCTGGCAAGGGCAATTAGGCAGGATAAGGAAATAAAGGGTATTCAATTACGAAAAAAGGAAGTCAAATTGTCCCTGTTTGCAGATGACATGATTGTATATCTAGAAAACCCCATTGTCTCAGCCCAAAATCTCCTTAAGCTGATAAGCAACTTCAGCAAAGTCTCAGGATACAAAATCAATGTACAAAAAGCACAAGCATTCTTATACACCAATAACAGACAAACAGAGAGCCAAATCATGAGTGAACTCCCATTCACAATTGCTTCAAAGAGAATAAAATACCTAGGAATCCAACTTACAAGGGACGTGAAGGACCTCTTCAAGGAGAACTATAAACCACTGCTCAAGGAAATAAAAGAGGATACAAAGAAATGGAAGAACATTCCATGCTCATGGGTAGGAAGAATCAATATCGTGAAAACGGCCATACTGCCCTAGGTAATTTACAGATTCAATGCCATCCCCATCAAGCTACCAATGACTTTCTTCACAGAATTGGAAAAAACTACTTTAAAGTTCACATGGAACCAAAAAAGAGCCTTCATTGCCAAGTCAATCCTAAGCCAAAAGAACAAAGCTGGAGGCATCATGCTACCTGACTTCAAACTATACTACAAGGCTACAATAACCAAAACAGCATGGTACTGGTACCAAAACAGAGATATAGATCAATGGAACAGAACAGAGCCCTCAGAAATAACGCCACATATCTACAACTATCTGATCTTTGACAAACCTGAGAAAAACAAGCAATGGGGAAAGGATTCCCTATTTAATAAATGGTGCTGGGAAAACTGGCTAGCCATATGTAGAAAGCTGAAACTGGATCCCTTCCTTACACCTTATACAAAAATCAATTCAAGATGGATTAAAGACTTAAACGTTAGACCTAAAACCATAAAAACCCTAGAAGAAAACCTAGGCATTACCATTCAGGACATAGGCATGGGCAAGGACTTCATGTCTAAAACACCAAAAGCAATGGCAACAAAAGCCAAAATTGACAAATGGGATCTAATTAAACTAAAGAGCTTCTGCACAGCAAAAGAAACTACCATCAGAGTGAACAGGCAACACACAAAATGGGAGAAAATTTTCTCAACCTACTCATCTGACAAAGGGCTAATATCCAGAATCTACAATGAACTCAAACAAATTTACAAGAAAAAAACAAACAACCCCATCAACAAGTGGGTGAAGGACATGAACAGACACTTTTCAAAAGAAGACATTTATGCAGCCAAAAAACATGTGAAAAAATGCTCACCATCACTGGCTATCAGAGAAATGCAAATCAAAACCACAATGAGATACCATCTCATACCACTTAGAATGGCAATCATTAAAAAGTCAGGAAACAACAGGTGCTGGAGAGGATGTGGAGAAATAGGAACACTTTTACACTGTTGGTGGGACTGTAAACTAGTTCAACCATTGTGGAAGTCAGTGTGGCGATTCCTCAGGGATCTAGAACTAGAAATACCATTTGACCCAGCCATCCCATTACTGGGTATATACCCAAAGGACTATAAATCATGCTGCTATAAAGACACATGCACACGTATGCTTATTGTGGCACTATTCACAATAGCAAAGACTTGGAACCAACCCAAATGTCCAACAATGATAGACTGGATTAAGAAAATGTGGCACATATACACCATGGAATACTATGCAGCCATAAAAAATGATGAGTTCATGTCCTTTGTAGGGACACGGATGAAATTGGAAATCATCATTCTCAGTAAACTATCGCAGGAACAAAAAACCAAACACCGCCTATTCTCACTCATAGGTGGGAATTGAACACTGAGAACACAAGGACACAAGAAGGGGAACATCACACTCTGGGGACTGTTGTGGGGTAGGGGGAGCGGGGAGGGATAGCTTTAGGAGATATACCTAATGCTAGATGACGAGTTAATGGGTGCAGTACACCAACATGGCACATGTATACATATGTAACTAACCTGCACATTGTGCACATGTACCCTACAACTTAAAGTATAATAATAATAAAATAAAATAAAGAAAAAAACAAAAAACAAAACAAACAAAAGAAATATATCTTTTAATTTTTTAATGGTGCTTATACTGTTGAAGTAGATATATAATTCATATTGCATATTGAATACCATGTGATTTGTACTATTTGCTAGGCAAGCTATTGGGCTTCACATAACCTCACTAACCTAACTAACTTTGCATAACCCTCACGTAATCATCTCAGAGTTTGCTCCCATTCAGAATTTCCTTTGATGTTATTATTTTCAAAGTGTCAAAATCAACATTTTTTTATTTTTTAAAAAGTGGTATTGTTCTGCAACAATCCCTTCTGATTTTGCTAATTTTATTGAGATGTAGTATTTACAGCAAGAAATATCCCTGTATATCTGAGTGTTTGAAAATGGTTAAGTTTTCAGGGAGTCTGTCAGAATCATACACTGTGCTTTCAATCCTAAGTTCCTTGAGATCAAAACCATCTTTTTTATATGCTGAAAGAGGAGAATATTGAGAAACTTTTAGTGTTTCCTAGATAAGTGTTAGTCTCCTACTGCAGGGGTTATTAACATTTCATATGTTGAGAAGACATCGCTCTTCAGTAAAAGCCGAACCTTTGGCTTGAGACAGTGTGAGACAAATTCAGCCAGTGAAGTGGTGAGCAATGTTCCTCATGAGTTTCAAGCGGGAGTTTCATAGCTACCCCATAGGAATTTATCATTTCACAAGCATTTTACATTATTATTTTTCACAAATAGTCACACATTTGTATTCTTTTGAAATTGGATTGTTACCTCTATCTCTGTTTGAAATAAAGACTGCTTTTCTCAAAGAATTCAAGACACTCTTTAATTATATTAATTTATTCACACGTAGTAGGTGCATTTACAAGTTATATGAGATGAATTGAATCATTATCAGTACCATTACTGATAGATTTATTCACAATAAATCTTCATTGTTGAAAAGTGACCACCCTTTTCTTTTTAATTAGGTTTATCCAAAGGAAACAACAGACCTAATTCAAGTGAGTAGTTCAACCCTTTGGATTTGGGTTGGAAATATCAGAAGTGAATTAGAAGTGAGAAGGTGTTAATGGAGGGGTGATATGTGAATAAATAACCAAATCAAATTTTGTCATGTGGCCATGCTCTCTACCCCACACATAGCTTTGAGAGTGGCTTGTCCAGGTGCCATAGATATCTCTTCTATGCTATCTTGCTCCTCTTTGGTACAAATATTCTTAGGGGAATATGAACTTTTGCTTATTCTAACATGTGTATGAGCTTCAATGCCTTCATGAAGTCTTATTAAATGGACTGATGTGTAACTTTCATGTTTCTTGAATTAGGTATCTTTTGGTAAACTGTCTCTGTAACTTGGACATTTATTTCTTGTTTAATTATTTGTGGGCTGTGTGTCTGCTGTGGGTTGGCTGCAGGTCGCCTCAGCTCTGCTAAGCTCATCTGGGATTGGTTTCATGTTCTTACAGGTATTCTTATCTCAAGCTGAAGGAAAATTCACCATTTGGGACATGTTTTCTCCAGGGTGTGGCGGAGGAACAGGGGATCCTCAGTCAACCTATAGAACTACGTGGAAAACTTTGGCTTGGATTCAGTAAGTACAATATTCACTTACTTCCCACTGGCCAAAGCCTGTCACATGATCACAGCCGTAGTCAATGAAGTGAGCATGAATGCTTCTCCTATAGGCAAGATTCACGCAACAGGTAAGGATGCATACTCAATCCTATTATAGTGAGGAATGAGAAGCTGGGAACAATCATCTGTCTGTCTCCGTTTTAACCTCCACCAGTAGCAGAAGCCAGCACTAAGGGAGTGCGGCAAGCTCGCACTAGGTTCAAGAAAGCCACTGAGGCATGCTGGTGTGATTCCCTCCTCTTGCCCCACCTCACCTGCTTCTACTCTCATGAAGTCATCACTGGGAAGTGCACACTGGCAGCAGGAGGGGATAGCCTAATATCTGGCATGCAGGCTGACAATACAGTTTTGGCACATTATAGTGTAAAATATTTCTAGTAGTACTCCACATTCATTCTGTCTACTGCAGATAGCCAATTTCAGGGGCCAAGAGGAACTTCCCTGTTGAGTAAACACCATGGGATACGGAGGAACAGGTGAGCACAGCAAGAAATGGGGCCATTTGTTGACCCCTCAAAGGAGGATAATTTGCACAAAATTTTGTATCTACTTTGACTCCTCCTAAGGAAAAATAATATTAATAATGAGAATTTCCACAAGAAAAAGAGGAAAAGTGAAAAATGGAAAAAAAATTATAATAATGTACGTGACAAAGTTCTCTAGCTACTACAAGGAAAAAAACCCTAAAATCTTAGAGTTGGACTAAACCCTAGGGCTCTTGGTGAAAATTTACTTTCCAAGTTTATTTTGGTGTAAAACCTATCGTAACATTTCCTGAAGTATTTTCTTTAGATTGCTATTCAGTTATATGAAGGAAAAAGTCTTGGGAATTCTAGTGAAATCAAGGTTAATGGGTTTCCTTCATTGATGTAATTTTTATATGATGATGTTAAATAAATATAATACATATGTTTTCATGCCTTTTGGGCCACTTATTTATTCCAGCACCCTTTTTTTAATTTTATTTTTTTTAAAATAGAATTTTAGAGAACTATTGTTATACAGATTATACTTCGGGAAAACATTGTCAATTCCGATAATGGGTTCTGGACAACTTGAGATGGAAACGGACTTCTAAGTTTTGGTAAACATGCCATATCATTTCTTCTATATTATCCTGGAACTCCAATGGACTATGTACCAACTGATATTATCTCCAATGTAATCCTTCTACGTGTGCTGGAATAACTTAACTAAACATTTAGCTTTCTGTTGTTTCCTTCTGTTTTATCCACATTTCCTTATGTAAATATTCTTTATGTCTAAAAGCGTTAAGCTTCTATAATGCCATAAAATATTTGTGTAGTGTGTTGTATTTGTAACCCACAATGAACCACACTTTCTAGTACTCATGCCCTGCAGTTTCCTCACTTTGAGTCGCTACTGGCCCTGTGATATGCTTTTACCAATGAAATGTGAATGAAATGATCCCATTCAGTTCCAGCCCTAAACATTAATAAGACTAGGCAATTTCTGTGTGTTTTTTTCTGTTTGTTTTGATTTTTACTTTTAAAAACCTAGCCTATAGAGCCAGGAATCATACTATAAGGATGCCAAGACTATCTTCATAGAGATGGGATGTGTGGATAGTCCTTGGTGGATGAGATAACATTTGGAAAGACACCATGAGCAAGAGAAATGAGTTGCCCCAGCTGATAACAGCAAGGCCCCAGACATGAGAGAGGCTTCTTGGACCTCAGTCTAGGCCATCCTTGTACTGAATCCAATCGGATGGGGGCTACGTTAGGTATTTCTATCCAATCAAAACTGTCAAAATTAATCACACAAACAAAAAAACATTGAGAGTAGCTCAGCTGAAATTCCTGACCCACGGAAATGTAGACAACTAAAAGAGTCATTGTTTTATGCTACTAAATTTTAAGATGGTTTGTTATACAGCCAAAAGTATTAAAACAGAAGTTGTTCCTGTTTTCTAGCTGATGATATGGTGGGGAAGTAGCATAAATTAATACAAAACAATATAATTAAGAGTCACTATGTGGTAGGGGAGATAAAATAATAGAAGGTCAGTGTTTATAATTAATATCAAAAAATTAAGAGAGGATTTGTGATTTTTTGAACCTCTAAGTCAGAGAAAATTAATGCATACACACATACACATATAAAGAGACACACAAATACATATCCTATCCCAAATATGTAGAATATGTATTTATGCATATACAAATATATACACATATACATACAAACATACATGTATATATCCCAACTATATAGAATATCTCTATAAAATTTGTATAAATATATGCATATACATGCATATATATTCTAACTATATAGGATTTGTATATGGGAGATATATGTGTGTGTACACACACACACACACACATATATATATATAAAACTATGTAACAAATAAGTGTAACTTTATAGGATACAAACATACCAACAGGAAACCCAAATATGCTTTTGGATGCATACCAATAAATTTTTCATAATTTATCTAAATTTTCAGCCAATTCTCCAAAATAGGCATTATGCTCCCTGAATTATAAAAATGGGAATTGAAGTGCAAAATGCTTATATACCTTACTCAAGTCATAAAATATTTTATTCTGAACTAAATAGTTCTTATTCCCTTTTTGTTTTTTTTTTTTTTTGTTTTTTTTTTTTCCTGAGATGACGTCTTGCTCTGTTGCCCATGCTAGAGTGCTGTGGCACCATCTTGGCTCAGTGCAGCCTCCACCTCTCGGGTTCAAGTGATTCTCCTGCCTCAGCCTCTGGTGTAGCTGGGACTATAGTCATGCGCCACCATGCTCGGCTAATTTTTGTATTTTAGTAGAGACAGGGTTTCACCATATTGGCCAGGCTGACCTTGGGCTCCTAACCTTGTGATCCACCCACCTCTGCCTCCCAAAGTGCTGGGATTACAGGAGTGAGCCACTGTGCCCGGCCTGTTCCCATGTTTTTATGCTAATCTGCCTGCGTTTTCAGTCAAAATGACTGCAAAAAATATCTAATTGATGTTATTCAGCACAAATTGTAATGGCAGCAAATCTGTAAATTTCTGTCTGTGTTGCTCATGGCACTGTTCATGAGCTGTGGCCAATCATCCCATCAAAATCATTTCACTGTATTAGAATTTGCACACCATGGAAAGTCAAAACTCATTATTCAAATGCAATAGAGCCAGGCTAGCTCTGGATCAAATTGTCGTGTAGATCAGCATTTTCAGACATTAATGTTCCTGTGAATTTGAGATCCTGTTAAAATACAGATTAGATTTCAGTAAATCTTGTGTGAGGCCTGTTGTTTTGCATTTCTAACAAGTTTGTAGATGATGGTAGCCAAGGGCCACTCTCTGAGTATCAAGGATCTAAATAAGGTGATTCTCTCATCCTCCATCCCCACCACTATATCTACCCATAGATTACTTCCCAAGCACTGATGACAAGTACTCCTGGTTCAATTGGAATTCAAATATTTTTCTCTGTTCTCCAATCTCTATTAAATTTTAGGTGTGAGCTTTATCTAATCTCAAATTTTTTTAATTGAAAAATTACCTAGTAAAGTAATTACACACAATGAAAACAGTTTTGAATTCAACCTTTCCAAAAAAAGAAAAAAATAGTTTGCTGTAAAAGAGATTCTCTTTACATTTAGCCAAATAATACAAATAATAGTGAAATATTTGTGCCTGAAATGTGCGGCATTATTTCTGAGGCCTCTCTTCTGTTCCTTTGGCCTATATCTATTTTGGTACCAGTACCATGCTGTTTTGGTTACTGTAGGCTTGTAGTATAGTTTGAAGTCAGGTAGCATGATGCCTCCCACTTTGTTCTTTTTGCTTAGGATTGTCTTCGCTATATGGGCTCTTTTTTGGTATAAAATTTAAAGTAGTTTTTTTTCTAATTCTGTGAAGAAAGTCAGTGGTAGCTTGAAGGGAAAGCATTGAATCTATAAGTTACTTTGGGCAGTATGGCCATGTTCACAATATTGATTCTTCATATCCATGAGCACGGAATATTTTTCCATGTGTTTGTGTCCTCTCTTATTTCCTTGAGCAGTGGTTTGTAGTTCTCCTTAAAGAGATCATTCACATCCCTTGTAAGTTTCATTCTTAGGTATTTTATTCTCTTTGTAGCAATTGAGAATGGGAGTTCACTCATGATTTGGCTCTCTGTTTGTCTATTATTAGTGTATAGGAATGCTTGTGACTTTTGCACACATTGATTTTGTATCCTGAGACTTTGCTGAAGTTGATTATCAGCTTAGAGAGATTTTGGGCTGAGATGGTAGGATTTTCAAAATATACAATCATGCCATCTGCAAATAGAGACAATTTGACTTCCTCTCTTCCTATTTGAATACCCTTTATTTCTTTCTCTTGCCTGATTGCCCTAGCCAGAACTTCCAATACTGTGTTGAATAGGAGTGGTGAGAGAGGACAACCATCTGATCTTTGACAAACCTGACAAAAACAAGAAATGGGGAAATAATTCCCTGTTTAATAAATGATGTTTGGAAAACTGGCTAGCCATATGCAGAAAACTGAAACTGGACCCCTTCCTTACACCTTTTACAAACATTAACTCAAGATGGATTAGAGACTTAAACATAAGACCTAAAACCATAAAAACCCTAGAAGAAAACCTCGGCAATAGCATTCAAGATTAGGCATGGGCAAAGACTTCATGACTAAAACACCAAAAGCAATGGCAACAAAAGCCAAAATTCACAAATGGGATCTAATTAAATAAAAAGCTTCTGCACTGCAAAAGAAACTATTATCAGAGTGAACAGGCAACCTAAAGAATGGGAAAAAATTTTTGCAATCTATCCATCTGACAAAGGGCTGATATCCAGAATCTACAAAATACTTAAACAAATTTGCAAGAATAAAGGATATGAAAAGACACTTCTCAAAAGAAGACATTTATACAAACATATGAAAAAAAACTCATCATCACTGATCATTAGAGAAATGCAAATCAAAACCACAATGAGATAACATCTCATGTCAATTAGAATGGCAATCATTAAAAAGTCAGGAAACAACAGATGCTGGGGAGGATGTGGGGAAATAGGAACACTTTTACACTGTTGGTGGGAGTGTAAATTAGTTCAACCATTGTGGAAGACAGTTTGGCAGTTCCTCAAGGATCTAGAAACAGAAATACCATTTGACTCAGCAATCCCATTACTGGTTATTTATCCAAAGGATATAAATCATTCTACTATAAAGACACATGCACATGTATGTTTATTGCAGCACTGTTCACAATAGCAAAGACTTGGAACCAACCCAAATGCCTATCAATGATAGACTGGATAAAGAAAATGTGGCACATCTATAGGATGGAATACTATGCAGCCATAAAAAAGATGAGTTCATGTCCTTTGCAGGGACATGGATGAAGCTGGAAACCATCATTCTCAGCAAACTAACACAGGAACAGAAAACCAAACACTGCGTGTTCTCACTCATAAGTGGGAATTGAACAATGAGAACACATGGACACAGGGAGAGGAACATCACACACCAGGGTCTGTTGGGGGGTAGGGGGATAGGGGAAGGATAGCATTAGAAGAAATGCCTAATGTAGATGACAGGTTAATGGGTGTAGCAAACCATGGCACGTGTATACCTACGTAACAAACCTGCATGTTCTGCACATATATCCCAGAATTTAAAGTATTTTAAAAAAGGAAAAAAAAAAGAAATATTTGTGCCTGAGGTAGTCTATCAGAAAACAGTTTTTGTTGCTTTTTTTATTGTTGTTTGGCAGGGGAATATTTTTGATAAATATCTAATAACAGATATTAGGTATTATAGTATTGACTTCTTTTATTATATATAGGACTACTCTGGGACCCACTTATTAAAATGAGAGGCAGGGGAGATGATGCAATCTATGTTCAAAATTTATAATTTTTTAACCTCTTCCTCAGCTCATAGGGTCTTAAAGAGATATAAAGGAATTTTCTATGTGTTGTATCTACCAACGTGTTTCATGGTAGGATTGGGAGGTTTAAACTGATTAGATTCTTTAATTTTTGGCTAAACTTGAACTGGTCTCATTTTAACTATGAAAAAATTATAGAAATCTATTCGAAGAGAGATTATATTGAATCCTATTTCCAAAACAATATCTATCTCTTTTACTTGGTAGACACTTGCATAATAGTAAATACCTATAATCTTTTCAAAGACTGTGAACTATCTTGATTAGATTGTTTCTGTAATAAAAATTGCCTGCCACTCAAGAAAAAGGAATAACATGCACTTTGTAAGCAAGTTTATAAAGGGTTAAAGCTATAAGAATATATAACTGTGTAAGTCCTGAGAACATGAACCAGGCATCCAATTTCATTTTATGAAGATCCTAGCAAAACAAAATAAGTTCTGTCTTTTTATACAGTTATATATGACTTAATTGCTTATATTAACACTTGCTTCTCAGTTGTATGCTCTTTAGAAGTGACACCCGTTTCAGCTTGTGCCTTGACTAATTGCAAAATGATTATCAAGCATCTAAATCCAAATGTATACCCAACATGGCTGATTAAAGAAATAATTCTCCTAGTCACTGGCTCAGGAAAAAATCGATCATTGGTTGTATGAAATTCAAAGAACAAAAAAGTAAATATGTCACTTACCATATATATGCTTTTATTATGGAGGGAGTTGAGTAGGTTGGTTATGACGATGAGGAAGGATTAGGGTTGGGAGACTTATATGGACAATTCTTCAAATACTTGTTTCCTAAAAATATTAATAATTTTCTACATAGCCAAACTTAATTAAAAATATATCCCCAAATGTTAATTCACTATGTGTTTTTATAGCAATGTCTAGGCATTTATGTGTATTTCATGAAGACTATTGGGTCACTAAGAATCACAGCAAATACCTTTTACAATCAGTAACCACAATATTCACACCAAAAATTGATACCTATGGCCAGTGTTCTAAAAAGACTGTAATAGCATCAGAAAGCAGAAGAAATGGCACTTGAGGGCAATCAGTTCTATTCACAAACTGTGATGAGCACCAGAAGCACATGAGAATATCATAAACAAAAGATATATCTGAGTTCACCAGGCTTCCTAATTCTCTTCTTTTGCATGGGGCAAGGGAGATAAATTCAAGATAGAGGCAAAGGTCAGGGGACCATGAGTGCTGAGGAATCCAAATTAATCAAAGGAAGTCTGAAACAAGGAGTTTCAGCATTGTTATGGTTTATTCTCCTTCAAAGACCATGTCAGAAACAGTTTAATACCAGATGTAATACCATAATTCAGCTTTTCAGCAGGACAAATTAACCCTATCTCTGGATTATTTGTCACAAAAATATCACTATGCCCGTTAGGCCACCTCCTACTCTGCACTTGAGTCATTAGTTTTGTCTCACCCTATATCTGCTTCTGGAAATTTTCTTCTTTTCACTAAGGGGCTAATGTGAGCAGGGTTGGCCATGCTTAACACACTCTTACTGTAATGGTTAACTTTATAGGTCAACTTGGCTGGACCTTAGATATTTGGTTAAACATTATTCTAGTTATTTCCATGAAAGTATTTTTTGGAATGAGATTAACATTTAAATTGGTAGTCATTGAATAAAGCAGATTACCCTCCATAATATGTATAAGCCTCATGCAATCAGTTGAAGACTTCAATAGAATAACGACAGACCTCTCCTGAGCAAGAAGGAATTTGACCAACACACTGCCTTTGGACTGGCACTGCAGCTCTTCCCTGGATCCTCAGACTTCTGGGAAGTTTTCTATTCATCGAGTCTTCTCAGTTGCATGAACCAGTGCCTTAAAATAAATATGTGTATTGTTTGTACTATGTCTATTTGTATAATCTACATCTATATTATCTATATGTACAACTGTATAGATAGATAGATAGGTATATTTTTTGTTGGTCTGTTTCTCTGGAGAACACTGAATAATACACTCCCAGTAGATTCTTCTTTTACAAGTCTGTATTTATTAGAAAGAAAAAAGTTGTAAACCTCTATTTAGCTATAGGTGGGATTATTCTTTACTATCAGTGTATTAGTCAGGGTTCTCTAAAGAGATGGAACTAATAGGATAGATAGATATATGAAAGGGAGTTTATTAGGAGAACCGACTCATGTGAACACAAGATGATGTCCCACAAAAGGCCATCTGCAAGCTGAGGAGCCAGGAAGCCAGTCCAAGCCCCAAAACCTAAAAAGTGGAGAAGCCGATAGTGCAGCCTTCAGTCTGTGGCCAAAGGCTTGAGACCCCCAGCAAATCATGTTTTAAGTCCATGAGTCCAAAAGCTGAAGAACTTGCAGTCTGATGTTCGAGGGCGGGAATCAACCAGCACAGGAGAAAGATGGAGCCCAGAAGACTCAGTCCACTCTTTCCATGCCTGCTTTTATGTTGGCAGCTGATTAGATGGTGCCCACCCAGCTTGAGGGTTGATCTGCCTCTCCCAGCCCACTGACTCAAATGTTAATCTCCTTTGGCAACACTCTTGCAGACACACCCAGGAACAATACTTTGCATCCTTTAATCCAATCAAGTTGACACTCAATATTAACCATCACAGTCAGTAAAATTCAGAGCTGCTCTATTATGTAGCAGCAAATGAGTCCTTGCTGTGGGAGATCCTCTCATTCTTTTTTCTCAGTTCATAATTTTATCTTTATCATAATTGCATAATGGTCAAGCCTGCTCATAATTTTATCCAGTTCAACTGTGTTGACTCCCATAATGACCCTAGCCACTTGCCCTCATGTGGCCTGTATTTATGCATCAAGAGAATGTGGAAAGCCCTGTCTCTATGCGTTTGATTTATGTCTTGATTGAGACTGAGGATTCTACAAACATCTGTGTGAATGCAGATAGATTGTTTCCCAGAATTTTTTGGTGCCTAGCTGAGAAATTCAATTTCTTCTTCAGAGAAGAAAGAAATAATGATAAAGTCATAGGTATTTAACTAGAAAAAAGCCCACCTTCTCCCATCCGTCAACCTTTAATGTGTGAGTCCCTAGTGGAAAGACATGATCTAAATGGCAAACATCTTTCTTCAAAATGACTGTGCTTTCTCTGGAGGCATCATTCCAAGGCTCTGGATATGCTGATTGAATTAGAACTTTCTCTGTAATATAATGAACTTAATGACAAATGCTTATGCTAATTGTTTGATTTTAATTAAGTCTAAGTAATGGCTTATGTCTATTTTTTTCTGAAATCATATTGAATATTTTAATTTAGGCATAAAATGACTTTCAAGGAATGAAAAGGATTCATATTGTAGTCATAATTAAAGTCTCAAGGCCTTATTCATAAATTTTATTAACAAATTTTTTATTACCTTATAATTCACCTACTCTAATTTTTTTTTAGAGGATTTTTTTTTCTTTTTTTATTATTATACTTTAAGTTTTAGGGTACATGTGCACAATGTGCAGGTTAGTTACGTATGCATACATGTGACATGCTGGTGCGCTGCACCCACTAACTCGTCATCTAGCATTAGGTATATCTCCCAATGCTATCCCTCCCCCCTCCCCCCACCCCCTAACAGTCCCCAGAGTGTGATGTTCCCCTTCCTGTGTCCATGTGTTCTCATTGTTCAATTCCCACCTATGAGTGAGAATATGCGGTGTTTGGTTTTTTTGTTCTTGCGATAGTTTACTGAGAATGATGATTTCCAATTTCATCCATGTCCCTAGAAAGGACATGAACTCATCATTTTTTATGGTTGCATAGTATTCCATGGTGTATATGTGCCACATTTTCTTAATCCAGTCTATCATTGTTGGACATTTGGGTTGGTTCCAAGTCTTTGCTATTGTGAATAGTGCCGCAATAAACATACGTGTGCATGTGTGTTTATAGCAGCATGATTTATAGTCCTTTGGGTATATACCCAGTAATGGGATGGCTGGGTCAAATGGTATTTCTAGTTCTAGATCCCTGAGGAATCACCACACTGACTTCCACAATGGTTGAACTAGTTTACAGTCCCACCAACAGTGTAAAAGTGTTCCTATTTCTCCACATCCTCTCCAGCACCTGTTGTTTCCTGACTTTTTAATGATTGCCATTCTAACTGGTGTGAGATGATATCTCATTGTGGTTTTGATTTGCATTTCTCTGATAGCCAGTGATGGTGAGCATTTTTTCATGTGTTTTTTGGCTGCATAAATGCCTTCTTTTGAGAAGTGTCTGTTCATGTCCTTCGCCCACTTGTTGATGGGGTTGTTTGTTTTTTTCTTGTAAATTTGTTTGAGTTCATTGTAGATTCTGGATATTAGCCCTTTGTCAGATGAGTAGGTTGCATAAATTTTCTCCCATTTTGTGTGTTGCCTGTTCACTCTGATGGTAGTTTCTTTTGCTGTGCAGAAGCTCTTTAGTTTAATTAGATCCCATTTGTCAGTTTTGGCTTTTGTTGCCATTGCTTTTGGTGTTTTAGACATGAAGTCCTTGCCCGTGCCTACTCTAATATTTAAAAATTAGAAAGTAAACCAAATTAATTACAGCAAAAATACTGAATATTATATATCCATAGAGTGATATAGATATCTAAATTATAATAACAATCCTAAAAACTTCTAATCTCTATTACTATCTAAATTGTAACCTAAGTAAGTACTTGTAATAAATTCCTGACTCCAGCAGTATATCTCAAAAAGAAGATAATAACTAAGGACATATCTATATAAAAACATTGTTGACCAACAAGTAATATTTTTTGTCTATTTGTCTTTTATTACTCATATTGAATATTTTGATTCAAGATCAGAATTCAGGAGTCTTTCACTTTTTATTACATACTTTAGCTCAATAATAATATTCTGTAATTAAGTGCCACACCCATGACTTTCTGGCCTAGGAGGCAGGTTTTCCTAAAATAATAGGAAATTGGGAGATAATTTTATATAGTTTTTCTTTCTACATTTGAAAATGCACATATAAAGTATAATAAAACACAAATATTTTTACTGTTGCTATTGTTTTACATGATATATTTAAAAATTAAGTAATAAAAGAGAAAATACTTTCATACAAGTAGATACTTTGCTAAATAATATTTAAGAATCAATTCCTATTTATTTAAAATATTATCTTCAGGATTTGGTAGATATTAATTTTTTCCATTAATCCTGTATCTCTTTGTGGCTGCAACTCTTTTAGCAGGTGTACAGATATTTCTACATCTAGTTTGAGATCCCTGTTGGTAAAAACTCATAGTTGTTAATAAGCTTGGTGCCTCTAAGCTTACTACCCCTGCCCACCCCCAAATTTCCTGTGCCTATCCTGATCCAGACAATGAAAACGACCCACCTCAAATAATAAAAATACATGGTTGAGTATCCACTGTTTGAAGGCTCAGACATTTAATTATCCTCGTTTACTCACTCTACTCCTTTGACTACTTTTTCTCTGTTATAGCTACCTGCTCTTCACTTACTTTCACCTGGCCCTTCCATTCTGACCTCACAGTATGATGTTTCTTAACTTTTGACTCTGAAATCGATTTTAAGGTAGTAATATCATTGATCTGCATTGGCTTGGAGAGGCCCATTATTTAGCTTAGCCCTGATCTCCTTGTGGAAAAGGTAGAAGGTTCTCTCAAGCCTCACAGTATGGCTATAGATTGAGATCTTGAGCCAAACCAAACCAGAGTGTTGCCAGCCTTCTATTTCCACTATTGTGCCTGCTGGGAAACTCTCCCTGTGGTACCCCTCTTACCAGAAGAGCCCTACTTATTTGGAAATGAACGACAAACAAACAGAGCTTGAGTTTCCCCCAGCCTTATCCTTAAAGACTTAAACACATTAATTTAAGCTGCTGGAATTTATTTATTTTTTTCTTTTTCACACAGCAGACGCAGACGACGCAACTTCAACATCCTGTGTGAAAAAGAAAAAGGTAAGAGGGGTACCCATTCTTGGCTTCAATCTCTTCCCACCACCTAGACCTGATCTGCCTTCCAGCCTCAGTCCCCACATGTCAGATGAGTAATTCTGCTTTTGCTTAATCACTTCTGGTAACAAAAAATTCACTTCTTCATGTTCGGTTCTTGAACAGTTCCACAGCCAAGCTCGCTATCATGACCATAGCTTTTCTCCTGTGATTTTCCTGGGTTGGTTTTTATTTCACCAGCCTAAAGAGCATAAATGTAAGCAGAATAAATGTAGAAGATTCTGGGATCCAGAAGATTATGTGGAATTTTCTTACCCAAAATGCTCTACTTCATTATTAACTTTTGCAAAATATAACATCAATAGAAGAGCATAACTTCTCAGATGTGACAATATAAGTGCTTATGATTAAGACTTTAATTTTTTACATTGTCTTACTTAAAAAAACAAAAATGTATACTTAGCAGGTGGCTTGCTGATCATTTTCTGGCCAAGAAAATCTTTCCAAAAACATGCATTATAGCATCATAGTTAATACGGAGTTTTGAGCCCAGCTATTTGGAAATGAAACCTTTATTTGGAACAGCATACTTTACTCTTATTGCTTTTAGTTAATATAATTATATATTTTATATATTAAAGTGATCTAAGATTATATTTGACTTTTTAATGAGGTCTCATACTTTAAGAATGGTGTGTTTAAAGTTAAATAAAACACCTCAGTTTATTTACTCAAGGTATTCTTATATTTGGCAAGATTTATTTATTTTACTGCTTTTCAGTTATTTTATTTAAATAGTTACAGGACGATAATTTTATGATTGTGCAAATGTATTGGGTTTTAATCCAATATATTAGTTAGCATATTTGTTTTTATTTTTTACATGTAAAATTTATAAGCATGCTTTTTCTGCTATTATATGTCATTAATAACACAACTTAATAGTTCAAGTTCAAAGTCAGAACCCTGAGATAAGAGCTATTAAGTTAGGTCAAGGTGATCTATTTATCTGCTTCCTGTAAATCACATAAATTAACTCATTTCTGCCACATCTATTTGTTTTTCCCACAAGGGTACCACAAGGGGTGCTACTAAATCTGTTCACCATCTTACCACTTCTCAGCTTCATAGCTGTATCTTCTCCCTACAACTCAATTATGTCATTACTGGTCTTGTTTACTGGTCTCACTGCTTCCCCACCCTCACCCCTGAATTCTCTTCTCATTACAGAAGACGTTGTTTAAAACCTAAGTCCAATCACATCACTCCTCTGCCCACAGCCCTCTAGTGACTCCCTGTTTCTCTCGGAGGAAGAGCCAGGATGCTTACTATTTTTTACAATGTCCTACCTGATCTGACTCACAATTACTCTCTGACCTCATCTTTTATTTTCCCCTGTACTTATTCTGCTCAAGGCTTATCTGCCAACCCCCTATCCTCTCACTGTTCCTAAACTTGTACCTTCACCAACAAAGCATGCAATGGCTCTCCCCTCTGCCTGGAACACTTTGCAGTATCTCTAGGTCTCACTCCAATACTTTATCCTTGTTTGTGCTCAAACGGCTTCTTTGTAGAAAATCTGACTTTGGTAAGTGAATGCTAGACTGCTGTAACATGATTTTTAAAATAAGATTATGCTTTCTTGTTATATCTTTTCTCCTGATGAGAAAAGATGTACATAATAAATAATTGGACATATTATATCTAGAGTATTAGGGTAGTTTGGTGGCAGACAAGCATATCATAAACATTCTGCCTTGTTTCCATATGTTTGAAAATCTTCCTCTGATTCATATCAAGGACACTTTCTTGATATACTGGCTTCTCCTCCTTTTTTTAGGAGAAAGAAAGCAAAAAGTTTAAGTTTAGGGTAAGATTATAAGATGGAGTTTCTCATTAGAATTAATTGTCAAAGTCATTTCTGTTAGCTTGGATAGATATATTTTTATGCAGATTAAAATGGTCAGAATTAACTCAATAATTAGCCAATGTATTGTGAGAACATCAGGCGCAGAAAGGCCTGCTATGTTATTACATCTTTAGAAAACACATTTTGTAAATTATAATGGTAGTCATATTGATCCAGAAACTAGAAGCAGAGATTGACTTGAAATTAATTTCTACCAACCAAAATGCAATTATAAACAATGTGACTAGATTAGTCCTGAGCATTGCTTCTTTTCTACTATTTTGGCTAAAACACATCTATGCTGTGAAAGCCAACTGGAGAGTTTTGCTCCTGTGGACTGAAATATTAGGGCTTTCTGTGTATGCTTTTGTGATTATTTGAATGAAATATGATAGTGCCATTTTTAGCTTACCATTATCTCTGATGAATGTCATCCTAACACAATTGCTTGTAGAGCATATATCAGAAATAAGTCACAGTTGTCTAAAACAGCTACTTCACTAGGCAAATCTGTCTCTTAGTTATATTCCAAATGTGAGTCTCAAAATGCTTTAAAAATAGAACTAAAATAATGTAAAGAACTTTGATTAGAAAACAGTACAAGTATCTACCAGTATCTAAATTACTCCATGTAATTTAGCACAAACTGTAACAAAAATAGTCATCCACATTTACTTCAGCATAATAAAAGGATCAGAAACACATTTTTTCTGTTTTGCTTTGTTATTTTTGCTTTGCTTTTTCTTCCAAGGGTTTTTATGTATCCTAGGGACATGGATGAAGCTGGAAACCATCATTCTCAGCAAACTATGGCAAGGACAAAAAACCAAACACCGCATGTTCTCACTCATAGGTGGGAATTGAACAATGAGAACACATGGACACAGGAAGGGGTACATCACACACCAGGGCCTGTTGTGGGGTGGGGGGAGCGGGGAGGGATAGCATTAGGAGAGATACCTAATGTAAATGACGAGTTAATTGGTGCAGCACACCAACATGGCACATGTATACATATGTAATAAACCTGCACGTTGTGCACATGTACCCTAGACCTTAAAGTATAATAAAAAAATATATATCTATATATATGTAAACTCGTTTTCTAAAACTATTCATTTGCAATTCAGGAGAACCTTGATATGTATAGTCGTACTCCTTAATCAGGAGACAGATACGTTTTAAAACTGTCCAAAATCAAACTATTTATTTCATTCATTCCAGTTAGTGATATTCTTGTGCTAAAAATAGGCTTGCTTAAAAATTTAAACTGTAATTTGAGTTTGGAGAGCATTTGCTTTTTAATAAGTTTCCAAGTTTTCTCCTATTCTTCTCTTTCCTGTTCTGAAATTCGTGGGAACATAAGGTTTTTGTATCTCCATAGCACCTTTAGCTAGCATTTACTGTGTGATACAGGCTCTATAGCTATTGAGTAGTTGACCGTAGTCATAGGTAAATGTATATTTTCCAAACTATTTAATATGCAGCAGTTCTGGCAATCTTAAAATGCAAAAAGAAAAATGACATTCTCTTAAGGCCTTTCTGTAGCATCCTATTGTACATAAACTAAAATAAAAATTTGTCCTTTCAAAAGCTTAAGAGAGCTACTTGAACTATGAGATCCTGTTTCCTTCTTCCACCTCATTTGGTTCATCACTAAGCTCTAAAACCAGTAGTGGCCTTTCAAATATTTGCCCAGCCAAATTCTTTCCCAGCACAGAGATTTTATAAATGCCATTCTCTCTACCTAGGATACCCTTTTCTCATAAAAAAAAAAAAGTCTAAAGTCTTTTAGTTTCAGCCTAATATCTTTTCTGTAAGAGTGCTAATTCTATCCCACATGTCTGTCATGTTTAATTTTTCTTTTATTTTTTTAAGATGGTACTCCTCATTATTCTCTATTTCAGCATCTGTTTATTTCCTACATGGCACAAATAGCTTTTTGCAATATTTTATTAACTGGTTTTTGGTCTTTCTGCTGAAGTAAAATGTAAATTCCATGTCTGTATAGCCTATGTCTGGATGATCAGCATTGCATCCCCAGGTCTGGCACAAATATGACGCTAAATAAATATTTGTTGAAGAAAACAGCTGAAATTTATCTTTATGTGTTTAATGTTTTAAATTTCTTTTTTAAATGAACAGTTTTGGAAATAATAATGCAATACACATTCTCCAGATTTAAAACCTATCAATTTTTGCTCATATTTGCTTCCACTTGTACTCTTTTATTCTTCTTGTCATTTTCCTTTGATAAAATAGTTTAAAGCAAATTTTAGACACCCTGTCATTTTCACATGTATAAACATACCCGTAATTACTAAACATACTAAATATACCCATAATTGCTCAAATATACTAAAACATACCCGTAATTACTCACATACTAAAACATACCCATAATTACTCAAATTCTCCTCCTGGGGAATGAGCACTGTACTCAAATTCTTGGGAGACAGTTTTGCCAAATAAGATTTTTTATTTGTGGAATTTGATTTGTAGTTCAATTACACCTGAATTGTGGTTGTTTGTATTTTTTGGGTGTCAGAAATTACTCTGAAATATGTACTCTTTTTTACATAATCACAATGACATTATCACAACTAATACAAATGGAAACAGTCTTTTGGTAGTATATAATACCTGGTCCAAAGCCATATTTCCTTGCTTGTCTTTTCAATACTGTTTTACAGCGTCTTTGTTTAAATACGTATTAAAACAAAGCCTAGGCTTTACATTTATTTCGCATATCTATCTTATTCTATCATCTATCTATCTATCTATCTATCTATCTATCATCATCTATCAGTCTCTTTTAACTTAAATTAATACATTCACTCATTTTTTTTCCTGCCATTGATTTAGTACAGCAATGACATCGATGGTCCTATATTGTGTCCTACCTTCTGTGGCTTTCTTTCTTAACATCATTTAGCTTGTTTTACCCCTTCTATATGCCAAGAATGGATATAATTTCTAAAAGTTGGTTAAAATCAGGTTCCAATTTTGACAAGACTGCTCTACATAATACTACATGGTTCAAATTACATCGCAGCAGGAGGCGCAAAATTATCCTGATGCTAATGTGACTAAAGTGAAAGTTAGATTCAGGTGTGGGCAGCCTGGTTACTCTTCTTACGTTTCCTCACCCAACTTTTCTCGAATAATTTACTTACTGGTGAATGTTGCCACAATTAATAGCTTTTGGGGTGTCAAAATGGAGATTTTTCTAATTCTGTCTTTCCTGCACATTTTTAATTTGACCTTGCTTGGAATGTTATAAGATGGTTAGTGGGACTTACTGTTATGTAGATATATTGATGATATTATTCATGTATTTGTTGTCATTTTTCCTGTTTGTTTTTTCTTTCTTTCTTTGTCCAAATTCTGATTAAGTTTGGTTTTTTTCAGGAGGAATTTTGAAGAGATTAAAAAACAAAAAGCCCTACATTGCTGCAGTGATAACCTTTATGCCACCTTCTTGTTTTAAAGTCTTGTTTTACTGTGCCTTTCCATGTACATCTCCAGACTCCACTTTCCATTCTCTTTTTTCCCTTTCTAAACATTTTGGGTCCAAGTAGCAATTTTGTTTTTCAGTATTAAAGTAGAAGGGCAGAGCTGATTTTGCATACATAAACTGCAGTTAATTACACAGCTGTGTGCCAGAGTTATCTAGGCTCTCCTTTGTGAAAAACCAAGGCTTACTCCTCCAGTTTAAAAACTGTCCAAATGTCATTTTAATTTATGAAGGCACCCAGAATAAGTTCTAATCTCATACTGCCCCAATATATTTACTGAAGCCAATTCTCTCTTTTATTAATTTTTACTGAAAATAGCACTTTTTTCCTCCCCCTGATAGTACTGGGTAATGTTAGAATGTCCTCTAAAATTCTTTGGACCTCATTTACATTCTCAAGAGATTTTTTTAAATTTACCAATAAGATGTGCTATTTGAGGAATTAGACTTTAGTTCAGTTGTACATGGATTATGTCTGCTCATATCATTCATGTCTGAGTCTTTCATTTTATTAATATGTGTATGTCTCCTCCACTCTGCTTCCTGTGCTATTCAGCTTGGATAAGAATGCTAGTGACTTAGGGCACAGAGTGCCACCTCATTCATATCAACTTCTCCACCTAGGAAATGAGCACTGCGCTCTGGGCTGCTTGTGTCTAAATCAACCTAAGCACCCAATGTGTGAGGCCTAAAACTAGACACAGTGAAAAGAGAATGATTTTATATTTATTTCTACAAGCTGCCTCATTTATAAGGGAATAACTAAAGGCTATTAAAAGAGGCCTTTAGGATAAAGGAAATTCAGACATTTACTTTGAGTCTCAGGACCTTGTCATAACAACCAGAACCACATTTATGCCCCTTCCTTCCTACCTGTCAGATGCAAGTTGATCTGTGTATTTGAATTTGCAAGGTGTAGATCAATTTTGCCAAACTATGCTAAATGGTTCTACAAAAGGCATGAAAATCATCAAAGAATAAACTGAAATTATAGGTTATATTGTCTGTAGAAAATATTGACATTAGAAGATAATCAAAAGCCAAACAGGCCTTCTCTAGTAAAATATGATTTTAAGGATGTACCAAAACCAAATTTATTATTTTATTTTTTTATTATACTTTAAGTTCTAGGGTACATGTGCACAATGTGCAGGTTTGTTACATATGTATACATGTGCCATGTTGGTGTGCTGCACCCATTAACTCGTCATTTACATTAGGTATATCTCCTAATGCTATCCCTCCCCACTTCCCCCACTCCACGACAGGCCCCAGTGTGTGATGTTCCCCTTCCTGTGTCCAACTGTTCTCATTGTTCAATTCCCACCTATGAGTGAGAACATGCGGTGTTTGGTTTTTTGTCCTTGCGATAGTTTGCTGAGAATGATGGTTTCCAGCTTCATCCATGTCCCTACAAAGGACAAGAACTCATCATTTTTTAAGGCTGCATAGTATTCCATAGTATATACGTGCCACATTTTCTTAATCCAGTCTATCATTGATGGACATATGGGTTGGTTCCAAGTTTTTGCTATTGTGAATAGTGCCACAATAAACATACGTGTGCATGTGTCTTTATAGCAGCATGTTTTATAATCCTTTGGGTATATACCCAGTAATGGGATGACTGGGTCAAATGGTATTTCTAGTTCGAGATCCTTGAGGAATCGCCACACTGTCTTCCACAATGGTTGAACTAGTTTACAGTCCCACCAACAGTGTAAAATTGTTCCTATTTCTCCATGTCCTCTCCAGCACCTGTGGTTTCCTGACTTTTTAATGATCACCATTCTAACTGGTGTGAGATGGTATCTCATTGTGGTTTTGATTTGCATTTCTCTGATGGCCAGTGATGATGAGCATTTTTTCATTTGTCTGTTGGCTGCATAAATGTCTTCTTTTGAGAAGTGTCTGTTCATATCCTTTGCCCACTTTTTGATGGGGTTGTTTTTTTCTTGCAAATTTGTTTTAGTTCTTTGTAGATTCTGGATATTAGCTCTTTGTCAGATGAGTAGATTGCAAAAATTTTCTCCCATTCTGTAGGTTGCCTGTTCACTCTGATGGTAGTTTCTTTTGCTGTGCAGAAGCTCTTTAGTTTAATTAGATCCCATTTGCCAATTTTGGCTTTTGTTGCCATTGCTTTTGGTGTTTTAGACATGAAGTTCTTGCCCATGCCTATGTCCTGAATGGTATTGCCTAGGTTTTCTTCTAGGGTTTTTATGGTTTTAGGTCTGACATGTAAGTCTTTAATCCATCTTGAATTAATTTTTGTGTAAGGTGTAAGGAAGGGATCCAGTTTCAGTTTTCTACGTATGGCTAGCCATTTTTCCCAGCATCATTTATCAAATCGGAAATGCTTTCCCCATTTCTTCTTTTTTTCAGGTTTGTCAAAGATCAGATGGTTGTAGATGTGTGGTATTATTTCTGAGGGCTCTGTTCTGTTCCATTGATCTATATCTCGGTTTTGGTACCAATACCATGCTGCCAATACCAGCTTTATATCAAGCTATCTTTTTCTCAGTCTAACACTTATTCTTTCCCTAACTGAAATGCTTATCATCAGGCTTTATTAGGACCTGCCTTTCTCTCAATGCTCATCTGTAGTTAGTGAGACTCTTTACCTCAACTTTGGCCAATCCATGTACCTCAGTCATTTTTGTTCAGTTATCAAGATTATATTAGGTTAACCTGCCAACCAGCTGATTAGGACTGGCGCTTTTTTATCTAGGGGAGTTACTATAATATGTATATGTGTGTGTGTGTATAGATTCAGTAGCTTAACCACACAAAAAAAATTACTTTTAATAAATTTTAAAAGAAGTAATTTCACTGTCCCTTCCTGTTGTACCTAAAGACAAAAATAACTGCAATGACATTTTTAACTATTTACTAACAATATTTGCATTGTCAATATTGGTAATGCTGTTATGAAACTATTATATATACATTGTAGGATGAAGCAAATGAGTAACTATGTTAATGGTGTGCAGAACCAAGAAAGACAAGAAAGCATACAAGAAAATGCAAGCATACAAGAAAATAATATAATATATTTTTAAGCAAAATTAATCAAAACCTCTCTAGTTTTAAATGTAAATAGGAAATATCAGTGTCAATTTATAAAACATTTTATCTTCAAAAAAAGATTTACCTATCTTCATGACTGAAAAGGGCCAATATTCCAGCCCAGTAGTAATCATCACTCTTCATCCAATGAGGACTTTTAATTCCATTTTTCACAGAAAGCAAGCAGAGCTTCTCAGATAAATGGCTGATTATCTGATTATAGATTTGGCTGGGGCAGAAAATATACAAGATATTATAATACTAGAAGACAAAGGATATATCAAATACTCCTGGTTTTGTACTAAAATAAAATAAAAGCCAAATTGAAAGGGTGCCTCTGACTAAGATGGGACACTTTGAATATCACAAACAATGATGACTGCAATGAATTGAAACTCATCAAATATGTTCAAATCCATAATTTCAAAAATGAGAATAAAACAACTAAATTAGTCATTTTAGAATTTTACTAGCACATCATTTTCTTATCATTCTAAAAACTGGTAAATAAGGGCAACGGATCAAAAACCTGTCCTGCCTATCCTAGCTCAACTGCTTTTCAGGGCAATCAAACTGTTGATCAACAGTTTCTCTTAGAAAACAATTCATATTGAATAATTCACATTTTCCCTAAAATAATCCAACAGTAGAGATGGGGAAGTGGGTGAAGGACATAAATGAAGTGAATTTTGACCATCACTGAGAATTTAGTTGAAATTGGGAGATGGGTAAACGTGAGTGTATATTTCAGTATTTTCTATTTTTTATGTCTGCTTGAACATTTCTATAATGAAATTTTTTAAATGTCAAAAGAACTAGTAAGCAAAAGAAAGAGTGAAGGATTTGGGGAAAAGATACTGATTTTGCCTGTCTGGATGGACATAGTGTAGAGACACCACTGCATTCTCTGAGCAGCCGAGATAGCATGAAACCACTTGGAGAGACAGAGTAAACAGAAACATCAAGAGGGCTCACCATCGTGCCCGTCACATTGGGTGGCTCCAAGTTACTTGTGATTTGAGTGGGTTAAAGATAGAGTAGGGGCAGATATCTTTAGGGGCTTTGACTTTATTTATACACTTTTTAGCCATGGAAGTTTTTTGAGAAATTAATTTAAATATTTCTATCTGTGTTTTAGAGATACGTTTCTGCTGGCAAAGTGAAAAATCTGAATTAAGAGATACAATGTTGCTGACAGAGAAATTAGTATATTAGAATATTATTACAGATAACACAATATGAGTGAATGAACTTATATAATGTAAGAGTGCAGAAGACAATTGGTATGAGAGAAACTGGAGATTTAGAATCATCAAAATGGCATAACTGAATGTGGGAGAGGAGTCAGATGAATTGAGGTATGTTTATAAAAATCCTTAAGATAAAAGATATAATTAGCTAGAATTACTAAGAAAGAACTTTTTCTTTTGATGAATGTAACCAGGAATGTGTGTGTGTGTGTGTGTGTGTGTGTGTGTGTGTGTGTGTGTGTGTGTCTAACTTCTATTTTTATTTTTTATTTACCCTTCTCATCCACTGTTATGCTAAAAATAGTTGGAGAATCAGGTCAACTCAACATTCGCTTTTGCTCAAGGCTACATCCAACAAATTGCTTCTTGCTTCAATTTAGAAGAGAAATAAATCAATTACCCTTGCTGAGGGGTGGCTATCTTGAGTGATTTTAGGAAAAAATCAGGTCATTCTAAACAGGTGTCTGAAATGACTGCAAAGAGTTGAGAGTAAATAAGCACTAATTTACTATCTCCTTCATCCCTGTAATGATGTGCTTAATAGAGGACAAATTTCATCACCAGGTATTGTCAGGGTCAAACTACTATTTTAGTGTTTCTATTAATAAAAGTATTATGGGGATGCTACACTGTCTCCGATGAAGGGTGTTTTTCTAAGAGGTTTAGGATTAAACCTTACCAGTAGCATTAGAGGGACAGCAATCTTCATATTAACACTGAGAAAAGCCCTTTGCATCCTAAATCTTCCTGACATCCTTATTCCCAAATTTGTTAACCAATGTTATCCTTAGGTGAGAAGCTAAAAGACAGAGGGACAGTAGATGATGAGCTGATTAAGGACAGAAATATGTTTTATTTATTTCAATAACCTAAGCATCTACTAGCGATTGGTAAGTGTCCAAGGAAGAAAAGATGGAAGCAAGCAGTTAAGTTAGTTGACATGTAGAAAAAGGTAAACACAGCAAAGAATACAGAAGTGAGAGAAGACATAAATTAACTATACATTTAACATACATTATTCTCCTATGGTAGGAGAAAAAAACAGTTTTTAACATGTGCTTGAATGGAGGGTGTATTGGATACAGGTGATTCATGTCTGGACAAGGAAAACTGTAGTCTTAATTATGTGAAAGCTTGAATGTCTGGCTTCAACTCCTGGAAAAGCTAAGAGCAGTGGGATTTATGATGTGCTATTTAAAATCTGGAACTCCCCTGGTAACTCCCAAGACCAGTTTGTATATGAATATTTTTTAGCTGGCATAGCCCATTAAATAGTCTGGCATAACCCGTTAAATAGTCTGTCTTGACGAAGTGACATTAGAAGCATAAAAAATCCACTGAGAACTTCTGCTTTAAACTCTCCCAAAGCCAAGATGTATCACACACATCTTGGTGGTTCAACCTGGAGAGAGAACAGGTCTCTGTGACAATAAGGACTCTTTATTAGACCTGCAGTTCGGGTCCAAACATTCTTTCTCTTGTCGCATCATATTTTTTGTCTTTAAATAAAATCTTAATGTGAGTATGTCTATGAAGTGTTACGAGTGTTTTGAAAAAATGAAACTTGTTAAAATGTTTGCAAACCGTATTCTTGAGAAAAGGAATGTGAGGCAAGGAGTCAAAAGAGAAAAACTGGGAGAATGGTTAAAAAAAAAGGTGGGGATTTGAGAAAAGATGGCTGTGGTTTAGCTATTGTGGCCTCTGTTTTTAATGGTCTGTCAATTCATGTTTGGTAAACTCATACCAGATTAAGAGCCATCTCTGAAGTTACTAGAAAATACTTATTTACATCTCCTATTTAAAATAGTTTCTTCTTCATTTTGTGCTACACAAAGATAACAGAGTCTTACACATTGCTGAAGTGTGTGGCTGATAATTGATCCAGAAAAGGCATAACATCAAGGATTTTTGGAAAAACAAACAAACAAACAAAATAAAGAATAGTGTAGTTCAGGCTGGCGTGGTGCCTCATGCCTGTAATCCTAGCAATTTAGGAGGTCGAGGTGGGCAAATCACTTGGGTCTAGGAGTTTGAGACCAGCCTGGGCAACATGGTCAAACCGTGTCTCTACAAAAAATACAAAAATTAGATGAGCATGGTGGCACACTCCTGTAATACCAGCTTCTTGAGTGGGCGAGGTGGGAGAATCATTTGAGCCCAGTAGGCGGAGGTTGCAGTGAGCCGAGATTGTGCCACTGCATGCCAGTCTGGACGACACAATAAGACCTTGTCTCAAAATAAATAAATAAAAGAAAATAAAAAATTTAGGCAGGGCATGGTGTCTCACACCTGTAATCCCAGCACTTTGGGAAGCCGAGGCAGATGGATTATGAGGTCAAGAGATCGAGACCATCCTGGCCAACATGGTGAAACACCGTCTCTACTAAAAATACAAAAATTAGCTGGGCTTGGTGGTGTGTGCCTGTAGTCTCAGCTACTCGGGAGGCTGATGCAGGAGAATCACTTGAACCTGGGAGGCGGAGGTTGCAGTGAGCCGAGATCATGCCATTGCATTCCAGCCTGGTGACAGAATGAGACTCCATCTCAAAAAAAAAAAAAAAAAAAAAAATTAAAAAAAGGTGTAGTTCATGGTTAATGAAGGGGATGAGTGTGCTGCTTCTATGACTCCTCATTACTTTTCTTTTTCTCCAACCAATGCATGAGTTGCAAAAGCAATCTCATTGTCTCTAAAAACAAACAAGAATTAGACCTGCATCATTTGAGCCAATAAGCAGAGGGAATCCTGGTTTGAGAAATTCTTATAATGTTGTAACTTGGGTTTAGGTCTAAAATTATGAGTGTTTTCTGTTTCTCTTTTCTGGAAATAAAAGAAGTCAAATCTAAAACAAACTACATGATTGATGTAGGCTAACCTGTTTTTGAAAAATCAGACTTGATACCACATTATGAATGTTTAAAATCAGATTAACAGATATTCCCTTGTTATGTGTTTAGTGCTACCTACTATTTCATTATGAGTCATAGTTCAGAGCTCTCTACTATTTCATTATGGGACATAGTTCAGGGCTCTCTACTATTTCATTACGTCTTGGGCTGCACATGATTAGACATTGGTCATCACAATTTGTAACAAAGATGTCGCTTTTGTCACATTTTAAATTAAATCAAAATAAAGTCCACTGTTTCCAAATGATCAACTGACAATGCATTAAAAAGCATAATTAGAATTCTTCTTTTCATCCTTTGAAGTTATCATTTAGTCAGACAAATATTGAAAGTAATGGCAAAAATCACAATTAATTTTCATCAACTTACAGACGATGAAGAGAGTACAAAATGACAATACCACTAAGATTAACCTACACAGAGGCAGAAGGTATGAAAATAATGTTTTACTGATTTACATTTCAAGACAGTGAGCAGAAGCATACAAGCATATAAGTTCTAGGCTAGGAATGAAGACACCATTACTTCTACTGCATTCAATTGGCCAAACCAAGTTACAGGGCAAAGCCAGACTTTTGTCTGGGGGGTGGGAGAGGGTGCACTGCAGGGGAAGACACCATACTGCTACTCATGGTGTGAAAAGCTATAAAGTCACATTACAAAAGAGACTAGGAACAGGAATGAGTGAAAGATTGTGGTCATTTCTATCATTTACCAAACCAGAGAAAATTCAAGTAAAAATTCAATGACATGGGCTTTATAGGATTCAGCCCAACTTTCCATTTTCTGCATAGAACAAAATTTCTCTTTCCTACTTTTTCTAAACAGGTAAAAAATGTTCAATCTGCAAACAAAAAAAATCATCTGAAGGAAATTTGTTAGTATATTGGTTAACATATTTTGATATAAACTCAATGCTTACAGCTGCATAGAGAGGTTTAAAATATAATTATATATATTAATGTATCTGATATTCATCATAAAGGGTATTATTATGATCAGCATTTGTTCTGATCTTTCCATTACAATCCTATAGTGTTTAAAGTGTTTTATTATTTCATAAGTTCTATTCCATGTACTTCAATGTAGTTCACTTTTGAAAGGTCATGTATTCTCATTTTTTCACTCACAAAATACCATCCTTGTATGAATAACTTGAAATGTGTGTAATGTTTATGTATATTAATTGGACTTAACCAACTAAGAAGGGTGTAGAGGAAGCTGGAATGAAGATTAAGCTACATGTATAAGATAAGAAGTTTCTGTGTTCAGACCATCGGAGAATACAAAAAATGGACAGGTTAAGAGATACTCATTAGATTAATCATTAGTTGTAGAGCAGATGTAATTGTTGGCGAATATTTATTAGTGACTAGCAACACCTCATTATTCCCAAGAGAGCTCTGGCAGGCAGAGAGCAGGCAGTACCTTAGGAGTTACTGGGAGTGCAGTCATCATAGCAGAGCCAATGACGTAAAGCAGTACCTTGAAGACACAGAGATATCAGAGATTGCAAAGTTGATCAAGGAAAGAAAGAACTGAACACCCTGGAAACTGAATGTGGGCCAAGGGATAGATCACAACACTGCTGTTCGAGTCAGTCTCTCTTCTAGCATCAACCATAGAGCTTCAGTGCAGACTAAAATCTTGGGCTGAAATCCTCCCAAAGCCTGCATGTGGAAATGTAAGTGAGAGGTAAGAAGGTTTCATCGTAACAGCCTAGCTGGGGGAAATGATTCATATTTATTCTTTTTTAAAAAAATAGATCTTTAGCAATTACAGACTGTCCATGTTGAGCATTCATATTTACTAATGTATTTACTACACACGTTCACTAATTATGTGACATTTGAAAAGTTACTTAACATTACTCCTTATGTAAAATGAGGATTCTAATATGGCACTAGTAAGTACTCAGCTCAAATACATTTTGTGAGAAGTGAACTTGTATAGCTATTTGTTTTGGTTATTGAACACAGGGTAACAAATTACCCCTAAAAGTTATGGCTTAAATGGAACATTTATTTTTTCATAAATCTGCCATTTGTGCAGGGATAGATCCTCTCCAGCCCACTCAGCATCAGCTGGGTGGCTGCAAGGCAGGGGACAAGAATACTTTGATGTCTCTTTCTTTCATACTTCTGTCAGTGAATGCAAGGTGTCAGTTGAGACCTTAGCCAAAAGATCCACATGTGGCCTTTCCATGTGGCCTGAGCTTCCTGAAAACATGAAGAATGAGATCTAAGGATAAGTGTCCCAAAAGCAAGAACAATCCAGGTAGAAGTGATATCACCTTTTCTCACAGTTCAGAAGTCACAGCATTACACCCACTGCATTCTATTCATTGAGGCAGTCATAAAGTCCAGTCCAATTTCAAAGACAGTAGAAAGAGTCTCTACTCTTGATGGAAAGGTGGCAAATTTCTGGAAGAGCATGTGAAAACTGGAATACTGTTGTGGCCATTTTTTGAAAATACTATGTGCCACAATTATATATGAGGTACTTTTTTAGGCAATAAGAAGTATATAAAAATTTATAAGTTCTTAAGGGTAGTTTCTGCCAGCTAATAAATAAATGCTAGTTGTTATTAACATTTTTAGCATTATCATTTTCACATAGAAAACTTTAGTGTTGATGAACAAGTATATTCCCTGCCTGCCCATAGACTTTAAAATAACATTAACAAATGAAATCAGCTTATAGTCATGTACAACTTTACAGCTGAGGTTAAAAACCTCTTTGCGTATGAAGTTAAAGGCCTTTGATGTTTTCGTATGGAATGTTTTAACGGATTCAATAAAAGTTGATTGATACCCTATTATACGGATAATTATACCATTGAGGTTTACCTATATGTATAGGATCTTAAATTTCTCCTCTCCAACGTATACATTTATTTAAACCTCCCAGAATTCCAACACAAATATTATTAGGAAATAGAAACTACATGAAGTAACTTACTATCTGCCACTAGAATTTGTATTTCAGTGAGAAAAAAACTATATGATGTGCCCACTATCCTAACACCAAAACTCAGCACTTAGAGGATAACAGACATTGCATAACTACTTGTTTTTGCTGATGCCTCACCTCCAGTTAGTAGCAGGCTTAGAGACGTGGTTCTGGAGGTTAATGGATTTATGAACTTGATCCTGTGCTAGCTTCGTATCAGAGTCATCCAGATAAAAGAAGTCAAAGGATGGCTTAGTGTGTCTTTAAGAATGCCTGAGGCATAGTACTGAACAAATACCTGAACAAGAAATGACTGAAAATAAGCCTTTAATATATGTGTCTTTGAAGTTATATTAACTAGTTTCTACATATTTTTCCTGACTAACTGGTAGGCATCCAGTTGTAGCTGGAAGTTAAGAAATCATAAAAATAAAACAAAAAAATCTGAAAAAGCAAAAGAGAATTTTATGTGTGTGTCATATCCTACAGTACATTCAATCTATGTAAGCCTTGTCTTTGGTATGTAAATCTGCATCTCCAACCTAGATTATGATGCTGTAAATATATATCTTGCCATTTCAGGTA
Organism: Homo sapiens; assembly: GCF_000001405.40. Taxonomy (NCBI): domain Eukaryota; kingdom Metazoa; phylum Chordata; class Mammalia; order Primates; family Hominidae; genus Homo; species Homo sapiens. The sequence goes on from NC_000006.12 coordinate 48,526,428, forward strand.
CTATGTCCTATTGTGAGGCTCATTTATGTCCAGTTCCAACTGAATCTTCAAATCAAGCTCTTTCTACTGCCTCTGCAGGAAACACAGATAGAACACTTCCTTTCTTGTTCTTCTCCAGTCACTTTTAAATCTAAAGCTAGAAGTCAATTCATGATGCATCATTTATCCCCTTATTCATTCTAGGAAGGAGTTCAGAAATAATAGTAAGAAGTGGTTTATAGCTGAATATTGCTATATAACAGAATCTTGCTGTAAGCTTAGAAAGTCTTAAAATAATATCTTGAGTGAGAAAAAATATCAATTTCAAATTACTGAAATCTCCCACTTAACAAAAATTTTATCCCGATTCTCTAACCTGGCTTTCTCAGAAGAGTACAAAAACCTTTCTACTCTATAGATGGTATGTCTGATACCTTCCGGCAATACATCCATTCAGGTTATCCACTCCACTGTCATGGTCTTTATTCACCTCTTTCTCCAGTTAAGGTGTAAAACTGATTGAATTAGGAAACTGTCATTTACTCAGACGAAGTGCCTCTCTTTAAACTCACCAGCAGAGCCCAATTCTCAAGGACTATAGATCCTCCCTCTCACTCCCCCAAAAAGATTCCTTATAATTCACCAGACTTTGCTCTAGATCCTGAACTCCAACATAAATAGTAATATAACTCTCCCAACTTTTTTTTTCCAAGTTTATCTTAACTAGATGTAGCCATTTTGAATTTGTATATAAATTCTAGAATGTTGTCAATTTTGATAAAAAGTGTATACTGGAATTCTGATTGTGATTTATTTGAGTCTATTGTGAAATTTTATAATTTTAAATATAGAATTATGAAACATAATTGAAAGAAACATAGAATACATTTCTTTTATTAAATTTGTTTCTAGATGTTCTTAGAAGCTGTGATAAATGCTACCATTTTAAAAATTTGCTTTCCTGGTGATTGTTGCTAGACAATTTCTATGAAAATAAAATTGATTTCCACAGTGGTCTCGTACCCAGTGAGTTGGCTAAATTCATTTATTGTTTTTAGTACTTTGTGATTATTTAGCATACTGTTCATACACAATAATGTCAACTATATATAATGATGACAGTTTGACTTTTTTCTCAAACCTTATAACTTTTTTTTTTCTTATCTTATTGATCTGGCTAAGACTTGCAGTATGAAGTGAAATGGAAGTCATGATAGCAGACATCTTTGCCTCATTTCTGATATTTGAGGGAATTATGTCAAAATTTCTGTATTAACTGTGACGTTTACTTAGGTATTTTGCAGATACTCTGAATTGAGCAAGTTTCCTTCCATTTGTTGCTAGTTTAAAGTTTTGATTATGAATTTAGGTTGAATTTTATCAAGCTTTGTTTATGCATCTATAAAGATTATAATATTATTTTTATTCTTTCCTCTAAATATGGATGTAATACATTGATTAATTTTCAACCTGACCCTTCTGGAGCAAACTCAAATATGTTTTCTATTACTCTTTTACATCACATTTGATATCTTTATTATCTTTCTGTGTAGAATTTTTATATTTGTTTTTAAAAGAGTGTCCTGTAACTTCCCTTTTTAAAACTATCTTTGAAAAGACTTAGTTTTTTTTTTTTAATTTAAAAAAAGGTCATTTCAGGTTACTTTCATACAATACATTGAGAAACATTCTTACTTTTTCTACCTTCCGGAAACATTTTTCTATGATTAACCTTATTTCTACTAAAACTATTTAAAATAATTCGTTGGTAAAGCCACCTGGGTTTGGAGTTATTAATATTTCTGTAGATATTGGTTATACAGATCTTCTATTTCTTCTTGTTATGTTTTTCAAGATTCATGCCAATTGAAAAAAATTTAATTTTTTGTCACAAAGATTTTAGACTACCTTTTTTTTCTTTTTAATTCTGTGAGATCTGGAGTATGTTATCTTTTATTTTTATAATATTTCCTTCTTCACTCTTTCTCTGTTTCTTTCCTCTCTCCCACCCATCTTGTCAAGGTTGTATTCAGCTTATTAAGCTCTTTAATATTAATATTTGTTATTATTGATTATGGTGTGTATTTGATTTCTAACATTCATTTCTGTTTTGGATTTATTGTTTTCTCATTTTTATTTGGTATGTTTAATTTCTTATTAATGGTTTTCTAGTTTTTAAATGTTTACTTAGATCATTGATTTTTCACCTTTATTATTTTCTTAGGCAGGTATTTAAGGATATACATTATCTCGTAAATACAATTTTGGTTACATTCTAAAGGTATAGAGATGTTATATTTTCACAATATATCACTTCAAATATTTTCTAATTTCCACTGTGACATCTTATTTTACTCATGAAGTATGAGTTATTTATAAGCACATTTTAAAAATATCCTTACATATGGGAATTTTTAAAATTTATATAATTATTATAATTTTGTTGCTTAAACTGTTGTCAGAAATCATTCTCTAAATAATTGTCACTTTTAGTTTGTGATACATTTGCACTTTTAAAATGACCATTCTATAGTTGTTGAATATTGCTCTATATATGTCATTAGAATAAATATGTTTTCTAATTTTACTTAGATCTTCTGTATTGTTTTTGTTTACTATATGCTATTGAAAACTTTGTGCTAAATTTTTTATGATTGAAGATTTGTCTATTTCTCTTTAAATGCCATTTTTCTTTATATATTTTGAAATAATATTATAAAATAGGTTATAAAATTTCAAATTTTTCAAAAGTTTATTTACATTGGATAGGAAATTGCTTATATTGTCTCTTATAATCCTTGCTTATAGTCAGTTATTTTGGTTATTGTATAATTACTTTTGCTTTCTTGGGTTAACTTTTGTATTTATATTTTTTCATCAATTTACTATCAAACATTCTACAACTTTATATTTAAGTTTTGTGCCTTTTAAGTTACTTATAGTTTCTTTTGGTCCTGTAATGCATCCTTTACATCTACTTTGGGTATTCAGTACAATTTACTGTCACTACTATTACTATTTCCAACACATTAAATATATCCATATTACTATTTGCTTTTATTAATAGTACCTGTTTCATCTTCAGTTGTGTAAATATTTTATTATTTTCCTTCTAGTACTTCAATAGTTTTACATTATTTACTAGTTTTTAGTGGATATCCTGGATTTGACAACATGTATTTTTCACTCATTAAATTCTAATATAAATTAATTCATTTAGCATTATCTAGACAAAGCTTTGACCTTAATATACTTTTGTGTTATTGATTACGTGTATTTTAATAATTCATATAATTTATGTGCCTTGAAACACATTTTTATTGTTTTATAAAGTCTACAGTAATTTTCCTTATCTTATTTAGGGCTATGTATTAGTTCCTAAATTTCTTTGTTTCTGCCTACAAATTACTTCTTCCTGGAGAACTTCCTAACTAATGCTCTTAATATAATTATTCTGCCAATCAAATCTCTGAGCTTTTGTTTGCCATATATTATGTTTATATTGCCTTTATTGTAGAGGAAGCTCTGTGAGAATAGAATAAAAAGTTAGCAGTTATTTTGGCAGTTTAAAAATCATATTTCATTGTTTTTAGCTTCCATTATTTTCTATTGTCAATTGTTTTCCTTATTTTTTCTTTTATGATTAAAAAGTCTTTTTTTGCTAGTCACTTTCAATATTTTATTTTTATATTTTACTTTCTGAAGTTTTACTATGTGTTGTGCCTAGTTTTTCTTTGCAGTGATTCATGACTAGGTGGATAAGCTTTTCCTCATTTTCAGAAAATACTTTCCACCTTCTTTTAAACATTGCTTTTACTCTCTCTTTCCTTCCCTTTGGGACTTCAAACACACACACACACACACACACACAAAACACTCTTTACCTCTACCCTTTCTAACTAGACATTTTCAATTGTCCTGTAATTTAGTTCCAATCTCTTCTTCTGCTACATCCGTTCTGTGGTTAATTCTATTTCATTTAGAATCTTATCGTTTCTTTTTTTAGCAATGAGTAGGCAGAAATTCATATTTAGACCATAAAATTTTTCCAACTTCACAGAAACAGCATTCTGCCATAGCTATATTCAATTCACAATACTGAACAGAATATTTACTATTTCACTCTAATGAATATGCATTTGGCTTTTTTTTCATGGTATTAGAATACTGATCAAAAGCATAGGCTAATGAACTAAGTGAATAACTAAATAAATGTACTTAAAAATTAGATCTTTCCAGAACAAAAGAAAGTATGCTTTGATGTCTAAATTTATTTCTCACCCAGGAAAGTAGAAACTTTCAAAATGTTCATTTTGGTCTAGCCTTAAAATCTTGCCCTTTAAAAGCAGACACCTTGTCTCCTTAGATGATGATGATATTTCTGTGACCCTTTCTGTCATATTTCTTCAAATAATTGAAATTGAAGATTTCCTAGAGGAGCTGAGAATGTATTTCAGGAGTTATATCTTTTAGCAGCTTGTTAATAATTCCCATTAGTGTTTTAAATTAATCTTTTATAAGATGTCAAGACAACAGGAAGGGGAATATCACACTCTGGGGACTGTTGTGGGGTCAGGGGAGCGGGGAGGGATAGCATTGGGAGATATACCTAATGCTAGATGACGAGTTAGTGGGTGCAGCGCACCAGCATGGCACATGTATACATATGTAACTAACCTGCACAATGTGCACATGTACCCTGAAACTTAAAGTATAATAAAAATAAATAAATAAATAAATAAATAAATAAATAAATAAAAATGCCCTAAATTATCAGGTCTGACAAAAAAAAAAGATGTCAAGACAAATAGAAAATAAATTTAAATAGAGAAATATTTTATTCTCCCTAATCATACAGAAGTCTATATACTCTGAATGTGAATATATACTCCCCATCACTTCATTATGCTTTATGTACCTTCATGAAGAGAAGAGTGTCAGTCACCTGTATTTTTTCTTAATTTTAGAATTAAATTTTAGAAAATAAATATGAGAAAGAGGCTGCAGCCTTAAAGATACAAACAAAAGATATTCTAAGGCAAATATAGCACCTTACAATTTGACTAAACATAGAAAGAAAAACATTGAAAAAATATTAAATCCTAAGAAGACAAAAATCAGACTTTATGAATTAGTATTTATTTTGGTAACATAGAGCTAATTGAGTTGATCATTTTAATTTTGAATATTTTAAAAAATAAATTGAGAGGTGATCACAATAATTCTCAAGATAACACAAACGAAATAATTTTTTTTTAATAAATGCAGTTGTATAACATATAGTACTCAATTTCAACTGCTGGGACATCCTATGTCTTGGGTAGTGCTTTCATCTAAGGGTAATGGATGAGGAGATTTCTCCTACTACGTAGGAATCGGTGAGATAGCTGTGGGCAAGTTCAGGTAGAGTTAAGTTGGGGTACTAAGAATCACTAACAGAAAACTGGTTAGACTTGACATCAATGCTAAATACTCGTTTATTTATTGAAAAATATTTATTTAATGCCTACTGTGCGCCAACACTTTTGTTTATAAATAATGCTGTGCATCAGAATTACAGAAATAACTCAGGGAGTTTTTTGGGGGTTGTGATAGTAATAGTTTAGGTTGTGTTTTTTGTTTGATTGTTTTTAAAAATGTGTGCAGATTCTGTCCTCCAGAGGCCAGACCTAAGATAGTTCCCTTGGCTACATATTAGAAAAAGTTCTACAAATGATTTCAAGGTCTACATTTGGTTTGACACCATTACTTCAGTAAATTAGGTATAATAGGGCATACTAGGAAATATAAAAACAACATAAAGTCAGATTATTCTAAGTATTCCAAATGTATCAGTTCTTGCAAGGTTGGTGTTAAACAAGTAAAAGTGTCAAGAATGTTGTTTAAATAATAAGTTTAATCTAATGTTCAAATAAGGATGCTCTGTGAAATGTTACATAATACATGCTTCAGAAAACCAAGCCTATCGGAGCAAATCTAATGGTCTAGCCACAATTACCCTTTGGTAAATGCTTTTCTTTTACGTGTTTTAGAGTCCAGGGGGAAAAAATGTCTCAGGTTATTTGGGCTAAAACGTAAATAACTGCAAATGGCAGCAATAGTGGGCCAATTGAAATTTTCAAAAGTTATTAATGTCAAAAATATTTGTTGCCAATTATCTCTAGATGAGGAAAAAATATAGTTCTTTCTTGATCTACTTTGGCCATCAGGATTCAAGGTCACAACGCAGAAACAGTCTGTGTGCTTTAACTTTTAATAATGGCACAGATAAACCAAAGTTATCTTTGTATTTTCTCTTTTGAGCTTGCAAGTATCTGAAAACTTACTTAAAAGATGGTTCTTGGAAGTAAAACATATGCATTTTGATGAATGCCACTTCCAAGCTTTGCCACACAATACAAGTCACTCAAACTATTGACATGGTGTGTTTCAATTTACAAAACAAAGGTAATAACATTTGTCTTACATAAGTCACAGAGAGTATATAGAACCAAACAAATATTATAAATAAAAGTTATTTTTAAACTGCAATTGTATTAACACAAATATACAATTTTAAGAAAATTCTGTTATGCCAATGTTATTGCATTACAAAGTCAAAAGGGATTTCAAAATTCACCTGGTATATGGAGTTCTGTGCCCAGATCAGAACAGTTGTCCCCATATGAGAAGACAATTTCAATTTAACAAAAGTAGATACTCATTTCATATGATTTAATCATTTCCACATTTTTCCCCAATTTTTATTACTTAATTGCTTTTGAGCAGTAGTCTTCTTCCATTCTCTATATTTTAGAGCAGTGGAAAAATATAGACAAAGATAGGTCAAATGACATTTTGGAAATAAACTTAATTAGAATGAGAGACAAGAGCTTTCAATGGGAGTTGCTATCTCATAATCCAGATATTTGGGTTGGATTTATTAAACTTTGAGAAAAGAAAAATAAGAAAAAACACAATTGATGATAGCTGGCCTAATTCCAAAACTATAAGGACTATCTCTTCTAGACAAAAGATCTTCTATCTATTAACATATTAACATTTTTTGAGATTTTTAATTTGAATGCAAACTTTACTTTTTTTTATCAAACAAGATTAAGTCAAGGAAGCGGATTCAGTAGGATTATTGATAGCATTAAGAGATTTATTATAGTAAATAGACATTACATGGTTCTGGGAAGAGATGAGGATGTAAAATCCCCAGAATTCCAGAGAGCTGGAAAATCAAAGAGAAGGTCACATTAACCAGCCTGACTGAAGCACTGGCTTGGGTAGGCAGTTGAAGCTTGCAGGGAAATGCTGTGAAGCTAATGACTTTCAGCCTCCAAAGTAAGCCCGTGACTGGGAAACTTGGGGAGAGGTCTATGGGAAGCTATTACCTCTATGTAGCTACAGCTTCTGTGGGTCTGTTGCCAAGCCTTAGCAGGAGGCTGCCATTTGTCAAGCATACACTAGAAAAAAATAAAGCCAATAACAAAGTCTGACTGGTTTGGCCAGTAAAAATACAAGGAACCTCTTTCAGAACCTCTTTTATTACTTACATAGACTGTGAAAAGAAGAATAACCCAAATCCCTTGTCCTTAGACACCTACAAGAATGGCACCAAAACCAAGAAGCCAGAGGACTGCAATGGATGTTGTGGGATATATCACTGCTAAGGAGCCAATTCTAGCCTGCAGCTAAGAGGTTTTAGTCTACAGCTCTATTCTGAGAGGTTAGGGCAAAAATTCCATTCCTCAACCCGGGAGGTGATGAGAAACTGTCTCATGACAGCCTCCCCGAGAGAATAAGGGGGAGGTTGGGAGACTGATCTCCGAATTGCTTCTTACTAAGTTACCATCCTTTCATGTTCTAGCAGGATCACAAAGTATTCTGTCAAAATTCAGGAAAGCTGTGGGTCAAGCCTTTCCTTGATGTTTTTTTATAACTTCATAGAGTGCGCTACACAAATTGCTTACCTGTTCCAACTCTCCTGGGTCCTAAGGAGAGGTATCTGCAGTAAAAGACTGCAAGTCCTGCTGTCTCTGAAATCTCTACAAGAAGTGAGAGATAATGGAAACCTTACCTACCTGGTGAAGCTTTGAAAAAATAAAGAAGGATGGTATTCCGGAAAGCCAACCTGAAGAGATGAAGAGGGAGAGTGGTGAATGTTAGGAGCAGCTGGAGGGTATGTATTTGCCTTAAACTTAGTCCCTGGAGACTTTCTGAACTAATTTGGAGGAAAGTTAGCACTTAAAAAGCCCTCCTTGATTGTGATGATTGAAGTAAGAAGAGTAATAGTGATTTATTGCTATGATTTTGTGTCTTCTGTATCCTCAGATTCATATAATTTGGGAATTATGCATGTAGTTCTTTTCTAAAAGAATAAATTAGGATTTAGAAGTGTTAAACATGGAAGGTGGCTCTTGAAAGCTTACGTAGAATTTTTTATTCAATATTTACATTATCCATGTAAATTTATGATTATTAATGAGAGGATAAAAGTAAAGAGCATGGTCATGTGTGCCAAAGTTGGGCATACACAGGTACCACATGTAAATGTGTGTTTGTAATGTAAGTAGGTCTATCATATCCATTTACTTTGAAAAACAGGCTGAGTAGATTAAACAAGCATAAAGTTTAGTGTTCAAACCAAATAATTTCCTTAAAGTTAATTATCCTGAATTTTAACACAGCTCCACTTTGAAAGAATTTTGGGCATTAGCAAATGGATTTTTTAGTAATAGCTTTAGAGCCTCCTAAGAAGATGTACAACCACTTCTACTTTATACTGGTCTTATTTACTAAAATCATCAGCATTCCTTATACTGAATATACAAAGCACAATGCCCATACCATATACAGATGTTCCTCAACTTATAAAAGTTTGATTTAAGATTTTTTGACTTTAAAATAGTATAAAGCAGTAGGCATTCAGTAGAACAACTATTCTGTTTTTCACTTTCAGTATAGAATTCAATAAATTACATAAGATATTCAACTTTTTGTTTTAATAACCTTTATGTTAGATGATTTTGCCCAACTATAAGATAATATAAGTGTTCTGAGTATATTTAAGGTAGGATAGGCTAAGCTATGATGTTTTGTAGGTTAGGTATATTAAATGTATTTCAATTTACATTGTTGTCAATTTACAATAGGTTTACCAGGATGTAGTGTCATAGTAAGTCAAGGAGCATCTGTACTAAAATAGAACTCTGACCTGCAACCCCCAGCAACCAGCTAGGGAAGCTAAACCACAATGAGGAGCTAAACCACAATCTGCAGCAACCGGTTCAGGAAGCCAAACCACAATCTGCATAGCAAATGCCCACAAATGGTCAGAACTTAATCAGTAACTGACAGCTTCCCTAATTCCCACATCCTAAGCCCTTAACCACCTTTACTTTCCTATTTAGGACCAATCAAAGAAAGCCAGTTATCCTAGACTAACAAATCACCTAGGGTGTCCCACTGCTAGTTAGCCTGTCTCTAGCTTCCACATGCCAACAGTCTCCAATCAGGGAATACCTGAAGCTTTCCCTTTCAATAACTATAAAGCTTTCACATTCCTTTGCCTGCCTTTGAGTCCCTGCCAAACCAAGTGATAATGACTGACTCCCTGGCTGTAACAAGCTCTGAATAAACAGCCATTACTTATTGTCATTTGATTGGTCTTCATTTATTTCCACAGTGCTTAAATATACTTATTTAGTATGGATAGTTTGAGTAATTCAAGACTATTGAATGACTTTGAAACAAAGAAACAAAAAATAGTGGGCTTAAAACCCTTATTTAGAGGTGAGTTGATTTTCTTCTCAAACATCTGAGAAGAATAATTATCAGCTACCATTGATCAAGAGGTAGGCATATTTTAAGCCCTGCGCTAGATGTGTCCTATGGTTCACCTCATTTGATCACATCAGCAGTTCTAAAGAATAGGTATTAAAGATGAAGAAATCAAAGAACCTAGAGGTTAAGTTTTCTGCCCAAAGCTAGCTAGGAGCTCATATGGTAGGGGAAGGAGGGGCTAAAATGAAACAAAATATATCACAAATATACATGTTGGAAGGATTTATTAAATCAATAATTTCTGTACTTTATAGTTAAGCTTATAAGTTTTGACAATAACATGGGTAAAAGGGCAAAGCTAATGGATAGCCTTAGATGATAAACATGGAATAAGGGAAGAATAGTTCTGACATGTGTAGTCATCAAAAAACTATAATCATTACATGTGTAATCATCAACAATTTAGCAAGTAAATTTAATGGGATGTTCTTTTCTCCCCTGGCACTCAGTTTACCAGTCTCAGGCAATGGTTTCCCAAATATACAAGCCTTCACACCAGGTCTGTAAAATCCCCAATACAGGAACCTCTTTGCTAATTATAGAGAGGGCATTAAAGAGACCAAGCTTCCAGTCCAGTGGTTCTCAACTTCTGTTGCCTAGGTTAAATTCTATATCCATTAAATAAGAATCTTTGAAAAAAAGATGGAAACAGCAATAATTTTAAAGCTTCAGAGGTATTAAAATGTGTGCTTAAGTTGAAAGCCACTCTTGATGAGGATTTCTTCAATTGTGAACTATAGACATTTTAGGACAGTTAATTCTTTGTTGGGTGTTGGGTGCTGTGTTATACATTGCAGAATGTTTAGCAGTATTCTTGACCTCTACACATTAGTGGTCAGTATCATCCACACCTTCCCACTGTTAATAACCAAAAATGTGTTCAGATATTACCAAATGTCTTCTGGGGAGCAAAATAGCCTCTCATTGAGAACCACTCTTCTAGACCAAGGTCTGCTATAGGATCTCAAACATCATCCTATTGAGTGGTTCTCATACTCAGCATGTATCAACATCACCAGGAAGGGTTGCTCAAACTCAGATTGCTAGATTCTACACTGAAAGTGGATTTAATGTGCCTGGGAAAAGGCTCAATACTTTGATAGTATATTAAATTAGTTGTCATATTTAAAACCTATGTTTATCTGCTTTGTTCCCAACCTCAAAATTCCAATATAGCCAAGTTTCACACCCTTACCTAGCTATTTCAGAAAGTCTCCAAGTCATGTTTAAAAGTGCCCACAGAAGTTATTTCTTCTCTTCCTACGTTGGTGGCTGAGGTGATATCCCATGTCACCTTATCCTTTGTATATGATGCCCTCCTCTGCTTCACTTTCACTATAGATGACTACTTGTCCAGCATTAGTAGTTATTATAAGAATAGGGAAGGTTTCCCTCACCCCAGCCACACTACAGCCAGTTACATAGGCCAACAGTTGCAAATACCTTGTGAGCACTTAGTTTTACTACCTTATTTTCCTATGGCTGTAACAGGGCTCCCTGAAAAATAGAGTAGGACAGAGAACATTATAATCATTGCATACTGCACAGAATTTTGTCCTGAAGCTCACCCATGCTTTTTGGATAAAGCTGCTACTCCAAATTCTTTCCCTTTCTGTAATGTACACACAATCATTCTTGCGAGACTCCTCATTTCTCAGAAACCTGTAAGATCATCTCTATAACCCTCTGAATTTCGTTTAATATGTGAAATTTGGTTCTCAAGTTGATCAAGATAGCAGGGAAAAGAGAAAAATGAGTAGGAAGGTAAAGCCAACTTTTTTACAACTTGCTATGGTTTAGCTGTGTCCCCATCCAAATCTCATCTTAAATTCCCATGTGTTGTGGGAGGGATCTGGTGTGAGGTAATTGAATCATGGGGATGCACAGTGCTGAGGGTAAGACTTAGCCCTTTAAAAACTCAAACAAATTTACAAGAAAAAACAACCCCATCAACTAGTGGGCGAAGTATATGAACAGACACTTCTCAAAAGAAGACATTTATGCAGCCAACAGACGCATGAAAAAATGCTCATCATCACTGGCCATCAGAGAAATGCAAATCAAAACTACAATGAGATACCATCTCACACCAGTTAGAATGGCGATCATTAAAAAGTCAGGAAACAACAGGTGCTGGAGAGGACGTGGAGAAATAGGAACAATTTTACATTGTCGGTGGGATTGTAAACTGGTTCAACCATTGCGGAAGACAGTGTGGTGATTCCTCAAGGATCTAGAACTAGAAATACCATTTGACCCAGCCATCCCATTACTGGGTATATACCCAAAGGATTATAAATCATGCTGCTATAAAGACACATGCACATGTATGTTTATTGCAGCACTATTCACAATAGCAAAGACCTGGAACCAACCCAAATGTCCAGCAATGATAGACTGGATTACGAAAATGTGGCACATATACACCATGGAATACTATGCAGCCGTAAAAAATAATGAGTTCATGTCCTTTGTAGGGACATGGATGAAGCTGGAAACCATCATTCTCAGCAAACTATCACAAGGACAAAAAACCAAACACCACATGTTCTCACTCATAGGTGGGAATTGAACAATGAGAACACTTGGACACAGGAAGGGGGACATCACTCACCGGGGCCTGTTGTGGGGTGGGGGGAGGGGGGAGGGTTATCTTTTAGGAGATATACCTAATGTAAATCACCAGTTAATGGGTGCAGCACACCAACATGGCACATGTATACATATGTAACAAACCTGCACATTGTGCACATGTACCCTAGAACTTAAAGTATATATATAAAAAAAAGACTTAGCCCTTTAAGTTAAGACTTAATCCTTTCTTGATTCCCACTATTGGATTTTCACATGGGAAGAAAGAAGCCAGATACTTTCCTAGCAGAAAAGCATTCTGTGTTTTTCCCCCATCAAAAATGAGTAAAGTATTACCCATACTTAACACAGTGCCAATGTTTCTTTGCAGATAAGGATTTCTCTAGGGAGAATTTGCACCACTCTGCAAAGACGCTAATGAGGCAGACCAAGAGCTGACAGACTTATGCCAGGTAAGGTACTTTCTTCCCAGGTGGAGGCTGACTTTTTAGTTTTAATGTACTATCTTCTCTTTTTTCTGTTTATTGTTAACCATGCAGGTGTTCACAGACTTATTCCATTTAAACTTACTTTAAATTTTGAATAGAATTATTTAGAGCTTCTAACTCCCCAAATTTCTCTTTTCTTTAACCTTGTTTTTAAGAAGGCCTTCCCCCCCCCCCCCCTCTAATTTTCTACTGAACTGACTTCTTGGTTCATGCAGTGGATAGTAAGCCTTTGGGAGTATAAAAATTGAAAGCCTGCTCCTGGCTGACCTAGTGAAGCAAACATTTAATAAATATCACCTCACTAATAGGGACATGTACTTGAAAGAGAAACTGACATTTGTCTTCTCCTTGAAACTAAACAGCTTGGCGTTAGCATATATGGAAGAGTCCCCTTTGGGGAGCTTATTTTTCTCCACAGTCAACATAGTGGGATGGGAAAGTATATAAAATCTTAATAAGTAACATTCCTTAGGCACTTAAAGGCCATAGCACAGTGTGCTAACTTCCTTACGTGTGTTGTTTTATTTAATCCTTACCTGAATGCATGGAATTATGAGTTACTTTTGCTGTTCTCACATTTTATAGCTGAGAAACTGAGCCTCATGTAACTTATTCAGCTTTGCAATATACATACTTGGAAGACTTGTAGCAAACAGATGTACAGAGGTTCTTAAACTTGGGCTCATGGACTTCCATTGAATAAAATAACAGTTCAATCAATGACTTTAGTTTGCAATCCTATATCTATAATTGAATGCATTTATACACATTTATATTAGTTGAAAAGATGACCACAGGCTTCATCAGACTGCCATAGTGGTCCATGGCATCCAAGTTCAGAATTGTTCATGGCGATCTAATTTCCATCAGTATCTCTCCTGAGAGATATCATCTCCTCATCTTGTGAAATCCTTTGTCTTCTTCAACATCTCTGTGTTATTTCTTCAGATTGGGGACAATGGTCTTCTCTAAAGTGGGCTTTCTGTACCATTTTTAAGACAGGTAGTATTTACAAATCAATATGGTTTTTATGTGTGATATCAACAGCCTCTTAAAGTCCTCATACAATACACATAGCAACATATATTCAATTGCAAATAGCATTGATTCCATTTTATGTTGAAGTATACAAGTTTAAAGCATTTCATATACTTTTATTATTCAGGCTTCCAAGAATGGGAACCTTACAGCTATTATCTTTTTAGTATCTCGTCATCGATTACTGGAAGATGATACTATGTTACAATGGATCAAAAAGCTTTTGAAAGTTTTTATTCAAAGCCGGGCACTGTGGCTTACACCTGTAATCCTAGCACTTTGGAAGGCCCAGGCGGGAGGATTGTCTGAGCTCAGGAGTTCGAGACCAGCCTGGGCAACACAGTGAAACCCCGTCTCTACTAAAACACACACAAAAAAATTAGCTGGGCATGGTGGCATGCGCCTGTAGTCCCAGCTACTCAGGAGGCTGAGGCGGGAGAATTGTTTGAATCCAGGAGGTGGAGGTTGCAGTAAGCCAAGATCGCACCACTGTACTCTAGCCTGGTGACAGAGTGAGACTGTCAAAAAAAAAAAAAGTTATTTATATGTGGAACAAAAATATTTCAATCAGAAAATCACCTCTGTTTCTCTATATAGAAATTTGCTCATCCTTCCATTAACTTTTATAACTACTTATCTGCATTTTGTTCAGCAGTTTATCTCTTACTAATTTGTACTATAGTTACTTGAGTAAATCTTATCCCTCTGAGGGTCTGGTCATCATTATGTCTTCTAGTTCCTAGGGTAGAGTCTGGCACACTGTAAAAATCCAGGGAATTTTTGTTCATAAACGACAAGTATTTCTCTACACCCAGTAGACCCTAAGAGCCATAACAACTCTGTTTATGCTCTTAGCACAGATTGATTCCAAAGAGAGATGGAGAGAGAGAGAGACAGAGACAGAAAGACAGACAGAGAGATAGAGAGAGAGGTCTTATTCAAATGAAAAGTAATCATGTAAAGGAAATTTTAGGAAATGAAAGAAGTAAGTAACTCCCTCATTGGTAATTCTAATTATATTTGGCTTCTTATTAAGTCTTTTTTCCTAAGATTCTTATTATTCCGAGATGCCATTTTAATCTATTTAAACAAAGAAATTTGTTGAATTTCTACTGAGGAAAATATATTATACCAAGCTTCATAAGGGGTAAAAAAATTCAAGGAGCTTAAAGCCTAAAACCAAAGGTATACATTTACAACTGTAAATGTATTGGTAATCACTCATCCAGTAAATAATCCAGTCAACTCATACAGGTTCTTAGCAGGGTTACTAAGGATGTTACTTACAGTTTTGCAGGTTGTCTACTGTGAAATTTTAGGACAATTCAAGTCATTATAGATTTATGTATTTATTATGACAATTTTCTAGCAGATAGCTAAAAAATGATTTTTGAGCAAGAAGCACCTTTAACAATCTTGCTCACAAATCTTTTAAATTGACAGTTCTGACATACTGAAATACAAAGCAGATCTAATCTCTGCTGTTATGCATCTTACATTCTAAGTGAGATGAGTCAGATGATAAACAAACAAACAAAACCCAAGAAAGTACAGGCATACCTCAGAGCAATTTCAGTTCCAAACCAGGACAATAAAGTAAGTCACAGGAATTTTGTTTTCCCAGTGCATATAAAAATCATGTGTACACTATACTATAGTCTATTAAGTGTTCAATAGTATTACACTTTTTAAAAAATACACATCTTAATTAAAAATACCTTATTACTATAAAATGCTAACGATCAGCGGAGGCTTCAGTAAGTTGTAATGTTTTTGCTGATGGAGGGTCTTCCCTCAATGTTGATGGCTACTGACTGATCAGAGTGGTTGTTGTTGAAGGTTGGGATGGCTGTGGGAATTTCTTAAAATAAGATACCAATAAAGTTTGCTGCATTGATTGACTCTTCCATTCAGAAAATATTTTTCCGTAGAGCTAAGTGTGATGGCTCATGCCTGCATTCCCATGTACTTGAAAGGCTAAAGCAGGATGATTCTTTGAGGCCAGGAGTTAGATCAACTTGCGCAACATAGCAGGCCCTATCTCTAAAAATATGTTTTTAATTAGCCTGGATTTGTGGCAAGTGCCTATATTTCCAAATACTCAAAAGGCTGAGGCAGGAGGATCCCTGGAGATTAGGAGTTCTAGGCTGCAATGAGCTGTGATGACACCACTGCACTCCATCCTGGGCCATAGAGTGAGACTTTCTTTCCAAAAATAAAAATAAAAAAGAAAGAAAAGTTTTCTTTGTAGCATGTGGTGCTGTGTGATAGCATTTAACTCACAGTAGAACATCTTTCAAAATTAGAATCTCTTCTATCAGACTCTACCACTGCTTTATCAATTAAAATTTATTTAAGTATGAATTTTAATTTTTTTAGAGACAGGGTTTTATTCTGCTTCTACTTCAGCCTGGGATTATAGGCATGAGCCAGTGAGTCCAGCCTATCAATTAAGTTTATGTAATATCCTAAATCTTTTGTTATATTTTCAACAATGTTCATAGCATCTTTACCAGGAGTAGACTCTATCTTAAAAAACACTTTCTTTGCTCATTCATAAGAAGCAGTTCTTCATTTGTTCAAGTTTCATTGTAAGATTGCAGCAATTGGCTAGGTGCAGTGGCTCACGCCTGTAATCCCAGCACTTTGGGAGGCCGAGGCAGGTGGATCACGAGGTCAGGAGATCGAGACCATCCTGGCTAACACGATGAAACCCCGTCTCTACTAAAAATACAAAAAATTAGCCGGGCGAGGTGGTGGGCGCCTGTAGTCCCAGCTACTTGGGAGGCTGAGGCAGGAGAATGGCGTGAACCCCCGGGGGGCGGAGCCTGCAATGAGCCGAGATCGCGCCACTGCACTCCAGCCTGGACGACAGTGAGACTCCGTCTAAAAAAAAAAAAAAAAAGATTTCAGCAATTTAGTCAAAAATAATCTTAAGCATCCATTTTTAATTCTAGTTCTTTTTCTATTTCTACCACATCTTCAGTGACTTTCTCCATTGAACTCTTGAACCCCCTCAAAGTCACCCATGAGAGTTAAAATCAATTTCCTTCAAACTCCTGTTTATATTGATATATCGACTTCTTCCCATGAATCGTGAATGTTCTTAATGGCATCTAGAATTTGAAATCCTTTCCAGAAAGTTTTTAATATACTTTTCCCAGATACATGAGAAGAATCACTATCTACGACAACTATAGCCTTATAAAAGGTATTTCTTAAATCATACAACTTGAAAGTCAAAATTACTCCTTGACACATGATCAGCAGAATGGCTGTTGTGTTAGCAGGCATGAAAACAACATTCACCTCCTTGTACATCTTCATCAGAGCTCTTGGGTGAACAGGTATATTGTTAATAAGCAGTGATATTTTAAAAGGACTATTTTTTTCTCAGCAGTAGGTCTCAACAGTGGGCTTAAAATATTCAGTAAACCATGCTGTAAACAGATGTGCTGTTGTCAAGGCTTTGTTCTTCAATTTATATGGCACAGGCATAATAGATTTAGCATCAGTGTTAAGAGCCATATAAATTTGGGATGGTCAATAATCATTGGCTTCAACTTAAAGTCACCAATTACATTAGCCCCTAATAAAAGTAAGTTTGTCTTTTGAAGCTTTGAAGCCAGGTATTGACTTTTCCTGCCTAGTTGTAAAAGCTGTTAGGTGGCATCTTTTTCTAAAAAAAAAAAAAAAAAAGGGTGTTTTATCTCCATTGTATATCTATTGTCTAGTGTAACCACCTTCATCCATCATCTTAGTCTAATCTTCTGGATAACTTGCTGTAGCTTCTACATCAACACTTGCTTCACTTTGCACTTTCATGTTGTACACATGGCTTCTTTCCTTAAACCTCACAAACAAACCTCTGGTAGCCTCAAACTTTTCTTCTACAGCTTCCTCAACTGCCTCAGCCTTTGTATAAATGAAGAGAGTTAGGGTCTTGCTCTGGATTAGGCTTTGGCTTAAGGAAAGGTTGTGGCTGGCTTGATCTTCTATGCAGACCACTCAAACGTCCTGTAAATCAGCAAAAGTCTGTTTTGTGTGTGTGTGTGTGTGTGTGTGTCTCTGTGTGTGTGTGTTCACTGGAATAGCACTTTTATTTTCCTTCAAGAACATTCCCTTTGCTTTCATGACTTAACTAACCATTTGGTGTAAGAGGCCTTGCTTTCAGTATATCTTGGATTGGGACATTCCTTCCTCACTAACCATAGTTATCTCTAGCTTTCAAATTAAAATGAGAGGCCAATAACCCTTCCATCCACATGAATACCTCGAGTCCATTGTAAGGTTATTAATTGGCCTAATTTCAATATTGATGTGTCTCAAGGACTAGGGAGGCCCAAGGAGAAGGAAAGAAACAAAATAATGACTGGTCAGTGTAGCAGTCAGAACACATACAACATTCATCAATTAAATTCACTGTCATATGGGTATGGTTTTTGGTGCCCAAAATTAATTATAATAGTAATTGTAATTCATCAAAGAACCCT